>NC_000008.11:136016299-136318377 GCF_000001405.40 Homo sapiens
AGGGAGATGGAAGCACCGACAGGAAGCCTATGGGGTAGTAGCATAAGAAAGGACAAATGTTTTATAACAAGAGCTACGTTCACAAATAACACAAGCTACATGTTCATTTGAATTTCCCTAATCGTCCATTCCTGAGATCATAGTGGGCTATACGTTTCAAGATAGAGCTAAGATACAGTGAGGGCAGACACAATGATGAGCTGCAAAGGGCACAGTCTTTGGATTCAAGCTGACCTGATTCAAACTCCAGTTCCATTAGTTCCCAGAGATGTGTCTTTAGGAAGCTACCTACTCTCTCACACCCCAGTTCCCCCGTCTCTACAATATTGAGCCTAGTAATATTCATGAAACTGAATGAAAATTGAATCAGAGGCCGGGGGCAGTGGCTCACGCCTGTAATCCCAGCACTTTGGGAGGCCGAGGCGGGTAGATCATGAGGTCAAGAGATCGAGACCATCCTGGCTAACACAGTGAAACCCTGTCTCTACTAAAAACACATAAAATTAGCCAGGCGTGGTCGTGGGCACCTGCAGTCTCAGCTACTCGGGAGGCTGAGGCAGGAGAATGGTGTGAACCTGGGAGGCAGAGCTTGCAATGAGCCAAGATTATGCCACTGCATTCCAGCCCGGGCGACAGAGCAAAACTCAGTCTCAAAAAAAAAAAAAAAGAAAAGAAAAAAGAAAAGAAAATTGAATCAGAACAGTTAAAACAAGCTTGAACTAGAAACTTAAACACCAGAAGTAAAATCCAAACAGGGGCCTTTAAGAACCCAAGCAGCCATAAAGAAATCTGAGGTCAAAGTCAACCAAGAGTTGATCCGGAAGGCAGACACAGAAACCACAAAAGCTGTAGGAGAGGACTTGTGGTTAAACAGAACTCACATTTTATGGTATAGCTATCTCCTGCTCTCTGTCTTCTAGAGAAGGATTTACGTATATATACATGTATGTATTTACATAGTGAAAAATTAAGACATGTAATTAGCCAATGCTTTAAACAGTACAAAACAGTGAATCGAATATTCCTTTCCACCCTCTCTTACCTCAGACCCTTGTTTCTCACCCAAGTCAAACACTGTTGGCAGTTTCTGACGTATTTTTAAACCCAGGTATGAGACTATAGAGATGTAGATGAGCTGTAGATATATTATAGATGGATGTGGAGATATAGGTGTAGGTGCAAAGGTATATGTAGATTTACGTGAGATACAGATCAGATGTAGACACATGTAAAGATAAGGATTCAGATGTAGAGGTAGATGATAGATGTCTGTGTGTACACAGATTCAGGTGTGGAAGTAGGTGAGATATGGACGCATGTGTAGATAAAGATTCAGGTGGCTGGGCACGGTGGCTCATGCCTGTAATCCCAACACTTTGGGAGGCTGAGGCACGAGACCAGTCTGACGAACATAGTGAAACCCCATCTCTACTAAAAATACAAAAATTAGCCGGACATGGTGGCGAGTGCCTGTAATCCCAGCTACTCAGGAGGCTGAGGCAGGAGAATCTCTTGAACCCGGCAGGCGGAGATTGCAGTGAGCGGAGATCACGCCACTGCACTCCAGCCTGGGCAACAGAGCGAGACTCTGTCTCAAAAAAAAAAAAAAGATTTAGGTGCAGATGTAGGTGAGATATGAATGCATGCGTAGGTATAGTTGCAAATGTAAGTGTACAAGTAGATATAGGTGTAGATGTAGTTGAAGAGGTGAAACATGAATGTATCTGTAGATACAGGTATAGCTGTATGTGTGAGAGATAGATGTAGGTGTTGCTGTAGACATAATTACACATGTAGATGTGAATGCATATGTGGGTGAGATGTAGCTAAAGGCATGGTTGTAGGACTAGATACAGCTTTAAGTCTAGATACAGATGTACCTGTGGGTTGAAATGTAGCTATAGATTTAGCTGTGGGTTTAAGTGGAGAAATAGGCATAGATACAAATGCAACTGTAGGTTTAGGTGCAGATATAGGTGTAAGTGTAGCTATTTCATCACTACCATCCCTTTTTATGTACAGTTTGTAGTATACTGTACTCACTTTTCTATAGCTTGACCTCTCTCCTTTTATCTTTGGTATTGTTCCACAGCAGCCCATAGAGATGAACTTTATACTTTCTAAGCACTCACAGTTCTTCAAGTATAAAAGAAACATCATGAGTTTTCCTCATCCCCTATTGAAAGACATTTCAGTTATGTCTAATTGTTGCTTTCACAAACAAAGACACAGTGATTTCTTTGAGTGTGTGTGTGTGTGTGTGTGTGTGTGTGCGTGCTTGCATTTTTGGAGTATGTGACCATCAAGAAATTTGATGAAGTGGAATTGTTGGGTCAAATGGTGCAAGCATTAGCACTTTTACAGATATTGCCAAAATGTAGGGCTCCAAATCCCAGATGAATGGTTTAATTAGCTTGAAAGGCACAGTACTCCAACCCTAGTACCTGACAATAGTCATTGCAAATAAGCCTAGATTACCCTTTATTTTTGCAAATATCAAGCTTCATTTGTCTATTTCTACAACAAGTAAATGCTTGATCACCTGAGAGCCATCTGACTACAATCATCATTGAGCTATACATTATTTATTGCATTTTAGAGGGAAAGAAACTAGTCTATTATTTTTAGTCCTTTAATATGTTAGCTTTGTCTATATCACATTCTAGAGATTTATAATTCAAAAATAATGCTAGCTTAATCTCAGATGCAATGCTTTTATGAAAAATGCAGATATTAAATAATCGAAATGATAATTACATTTGGCAAGCATTGACAGAAATAACCACCTAGGTAAATAGACATTTTTCACTAATTCTTAAAATGTGTCAATGATACTTGGATTGAATGCTTGTTTTATACAAAATAAAATGCTCCTTTCTAAATATATTTTTGGACTCAAATTCCTTTCACTGTTAGGATATAGCTTGTAGCTTTTTAGGTCAAATTAAATATAAAATTAAGTAACGGAAAGTTCTTTAGGAAATGATTTAGCCCATTTCCTATGACCAAAGAAAGCTAGGACATCAGGGAGGCTACATGGCTCTTTGAACTCATGTTGTGTAACCTCAAGTTACCTTGGTTGAATGCCAACTTACATTGTAAGAAGTTTTGTATGTGTTTTTAAATTTATACCTCACTTTGAGATGTTGTTTTTCACATTTTAAGGGGCCTGGAAAGATTAAACATCCACATCCACAAGACAGTGATTCTCAAAGTGTGCTCTTATGAGTGGCCTCAGCAGCACCACATTGGGACTTGTTAGAAATGCACATGTCCAGTCCCTGCCCCAGGCATAAGGAATCAGAAATTCTGGGGCAGAGCCCTGCAATCCACGGCTTGAGCAGTCCTCCAGGTGATCCTCCTCACACTGAATCTGGACAGCCACTTCTCTAAAGCTCCCACAGAAAGATTTGGGCAAATGTTGGTCTCTTGCTTCCAACCCAGCGCTTCTTAAACAAAGCCCTTGGAGACTCAGAGTTATCTGGGTTGGGAATTTCAGCTTAGCAAGTAGTTTCTGTCTTTCCTTCTTTCACTTCTTGCAATGGCACTGTTCCTTGTCTGGGCGACCATCCTGATATTTTCTGTTTTCCATTTTCCAAATATGAGAAGATGAAACAGAAGAAAAAATAGCTACAGAAGTATGTCTATATTTTTGTGTTTATATAGTGGGTATATTTTTATCCAATTCGAAGTATCTAAATTTTTACTCAATTACTTAAAAAAAACAACCAAGAAGTATTTTATACCCTACACTCTTTTTAACAGAAAGTTTAGAGTTAGTTAAAAGTTAAAAATGACTCTGTAGCAACAGCTGCAACTTTCTGGCTATATTTACAAATTGCCTTTGACAAAAATGTTCCCAGACACTGTTTGTTAATGTTCTAAAACGTAAGTTTATATAAGGTATTTGGACATAGATTAGAGCAGGTTTATCCACAAAAGCAAATGACACAAAAACAAATGACATTGGGAAATGTATTCAACTCACTTTGACATTCTAGGCATAAGAGGAATGTAAAATGGAGAGGACTTCTGCTGTAGACAGGAGTTCCTCTTACACTTCCCACCATATGCTTTTGGAGATGAGAAAAAAGTGAACAGAACCATGCAGAGATGTCCATGCCCATCCTTTGCATATGTTACTCAATGACTTCCTTCAGTGGATAAAATGCAAGTTCTTGGTGTGACATAGGAAGCTTCCCATGGAGGCAGGAACTCCCTTCCTGCCTTGCCAGTAGAAAAGACTCCCTCTCCCCTGTAAGCCTGAGATCAATAATCTGACTGCTTTCTCCTATTCCCAAATAATCAGGGCTAGGCACATCTAATCACCTCATCAGCAGTCTAGCATGGCACTGCAATACAAACTGAAACTGTCCTCCTACCTACTACTTTCTTACTTAATATGAATATTTTGGGCAAAGAGGCATGTCTGAATCATCATTGAATCCTCAGACCTTCCTGAAGACATGCCGCATGGCAACACGCCCAGAATTTGTTTGTTGACTGTAGAAGGAGATTCTTGAGTATGGAATGTGGGGAATATAGTCAGTAGTTGTACTGAATAATTGATTACTATTCTCAAGATGATCTCTTTAACTGTTTTGTTCCTGAGGGCCTATAGCACATCATCAATAGAATGGGAAGTGATGCCAAAAGTTATTCAATCAAAATATTTATTATTTTCTATTTTTTCCCATTAACTGATCCAATCCATTTGGAAGCTCTTTACAGAGAAAAATTAGAAAACACAATTCCTATTAGTGTATTATCTCAGTTTGTTCAGTTAGGTACTTGGTTGAGGCTTTTCCTGGTGGAAAGCGAAACTCTAAGAGGGACACTGGCAGCGAAGAACTGCTTTTGAGATGGCTCAGGACACAATTCATGAAAAAGACTTGGAATAAGATGGGAACAGGGAATATTTAATTTTCATTCAATTCAAATAAGTTAGCAAAGATGTATAGAGTTTTAAAAGTTTAACACAAAGATTATAAGCACATACACAGGTTGATAAAGTTGATAAGCACACACACACACACACAGACATACATTCTACACAAATATGAACCATCACACCTAACTGGATAAACCAACAATGCAGAGTGCACATGGTTTTTGCATAAATTACATGACAAATAAACCACCGATATATACTGCCCACCACAGACATGTCCCACATGACTCATTATCCAGAGCACACCTCCCCATCACACACAGAATTGGTCTCCATTCACGTTGCGCACCCAAAATTACAAGTGTGCTTTACATACCCATATCACACACAGCATATCTACTTGTCCATACACAGAACTTTCCCACATGACTCACATCATGTATGCACAGGTATTGCTCATATGTAACAATATATAAACATTTACACACCACAGACAGATGAGCCCTCAAAGTTTTGTCATAACCACATATCTCAGACATATTCGTATTCCACCCCCACCCAAACATTCCATTTACTGTAAAGTTAGTCCCCTGTCCTTCACATGCTATATAGACAGATATGATATGTGTCTAATCCCATTTCTCAGTCATAACACACACCCACATTTATACTCATAAACACACATACACATGTTCACCTGTAATCATGCTACTGGCAGGTTAATCACATGTAAAACACCCCTTTGATAACAGGCAAGGCTGATGGGCATTTGAAAAAGATGGTTTTGAACAGCCATGTGCTTGGCACCAGCCAGTTGTATGAGATATCCATGTATGTCTGGCTGAAGCTTCTTTCCTGCAGGTGGCTCTCTGCTGATAGAAGTTCATAAGAACATAGAGAGAACACATTGCAATAGTTATCTTTGTTGCTATCATGACCATCACTCCCCTTCATTGTGCATTATAATTCACTGAACATGTCAAAGGAATTATGCAAATTTTTTTTTTTTTTTTTTTTTTTTTTTTTTTTTTTTTTTTTTTTTTTTGAGACGGAGTCTCGCTCTGTGGCCCAGGCGGGAGTGCAGTGGCGCAATCTCGGCTCACTGCAAGCTCCGCCTCCCGGGTTCACGCCATTCTCCTGCTATGCTAATTTTTATAACATGTATTCAGGGTGGGGACATTGAAGGTCTGAGAGGTATTATAAAACTTTTGTAGCGTGACACAGTCGGGATGGGTCAGAGCTGGGGCAAAGATGACAATCTGTTCTCTAGTCCCAGTAGACCAGTGATTCTCAACGCGGAAAGGCTGTGATTTCCTGCTCAGAAGACATTTGGCAATGTCTGAAGACAAGTTTTGTTGGTTGTCACAACTTGTGACAGGGTAATTGCTACTGGTATTTAGTGGGTAGAGGCCACAGATACTTTTATACATCCTACAACACACAGAACAGCTCTCACAACAACAACAAAAATAATCTGGTCCAAAATGTCAATAGTGCTGAGATGGAGGAGCCCTGAGCTTGACCCCTGGGGCTTCATGACAGTGGCATGAGGAGCTGGGGTCTTCCTGGACTGGCATGGGCATGCTGTCAGGGGAAGACAGGGAATGGGGTGGTTTGCTCTTCTCTCTTCTCAGTGGGCCATCTGGGCACACACCCTGGCTGAATTTAAAAGGCAGCAATAAGGTAGAGGCATAAATGGCTTCTCCCTGTTGACATTATTTCCACACATGCCATCCAGAAGCCATCCGTCTAAGAAATGGGAATTTTATTAAAACAGAAGGACGGAAAACCTTGAACATGAGCTCTTGCTGAGCTGATGAATGACTACTCTTGTTCTTAACATTACACATTTTTCCTTCATTAGAAATTAAAAAGAAACCAGAAAGAGAAAATATCAATTCTTGTCGCGTGATAAAAATCATCTGGACAGGCCTTCATGGTGCTGAAATACGTCTCAGGGTCTCCTATTAAATCAATTAGCAAGCAGGAGGGAAGACAGAGGCCTGCAAAGTTCCTGACAGCCTTTCTTAACAAAGAGCCTGTCATTCTTGAGTCTGAATCCTCCTCCTTGTCTTCATTTTTTGGGCACAGAAACTGTTGGGAGTTTGGAGAAATGAATCTTTTTATAGGAGAGAAAAAAAAAAAAGAAGCCAGCTGTCATTTGGTTCATTAGAAAGTCTCTGTGAATGGTGATTTGTTCTTAGACCAAGATTTAAACCCGTATCTCTTCTATGGTCTGCCATGAAGATGGTGGGATTCCTCATCAGAAGATTATTTGTGCGTTTCTTTCCTGGCAATGAATAATTTGTGTCAAACCATCTACCTTCTTTATTCTGGGCCTCTTAATGTTTAGGATCCTCAACAAGTATGGTTTACAAACATGCCTTAACATCCACATAACAGTGTAGTGTTTGCAAAGACCATTCAGGTTGATTCTCACAGTAATAAGATGGGTGACTAGATAATATTATCCCTATTTTATAAATGACGAAATGAACTAAGGATGTGACTTGACCTTAGCCACTCAAAGTGGCAGTAGAGGGATTAAAATGCAGGTATGTAAGGAGTTTGAGAAGAGTGCAACTAATTTACATTCGCAGGTTCTCAGTGTTACTTGCATACTAAAAATAGTGAGAAACTTTAACAAATGCTGATGCCTTGGTACCCAGAGATTGTGACAAAACCCAAGAGGTTACAACCTGAGTATCAGAGTTTTGATCCTAACGTTCAATCAGGTTTGGGAATCACTACACCAGATATTTACTACATTGCAGCTTGGGTAAACGGGCCATGGACTTCTAGGAATTATTGCAGTGGAACGATCAAGACTTAAGTCCCAAAGCATCTGACATCAAAGCTCATATTCTTTCCAATTGGCTCAGGAATAATCTCTAGCGCCTGTCAGGCACCCTTTTATGGCCAACATCCCTTTTGATTCTCAGGAGCACTGTGCAAGGTGAGCAGGGCAAGATCATTGTTATTGTTATGTTACAGTTAAGAAAGTCTCAGTGTTTTTACTTTTCAGAAAGAGGTACTGGATTTAAATCCTATTCTTTTCATTCTTTGCCCCTGAACTTCAAACACCATGCTGTTAATTAGACAATGCTCTGAGGCCTGACCATGAGCATAATAAAACCACAGTCTGATCTTCGTGGCTTTGGGAAGAGGTGGGAGGATAGGCATCTGTTTTCTTTGTTCTCTGGGAGCACGTGGCTGGTGGTAATCAGATGAGGTAGACTGGGTATAATTAGAGTCCAGTATCCCTACTCTTTTCTCTGGCCACTGTTCTATTCTAAGGTGACCCAACAATGATATCGATTGAATTTGAGAAGGAAGGAGCTGAGGGTGCAAGTCTGTGGTCAACCAAAGTGATTAGCTTCTAAAGGGAATACGATCTGTAAGAAAGAAAAGCAGAAAAGCTGCTTATGCAATTTACAATAAGAATGTAATTGAGACAGGGAGAAAGTGAGTGATCAAACTACCTTCAAGGTCAGAACTTGTTGACTTTCTAGATCTATAGGGAGGCCACATGGGCTGGAAATCAGATCATGGTGAAATAATTCAGTGCTGAGGACTAACAGGTTTTACTAAATGGTTGTCCTTTTGCTTCTCGACTTTCTTTCTTAGATACTGTGTGTGTCTTCATCTGAGGTTGTCTAGAGCCTAGGGAATCGGGCATAAAATCTATTGGATATATCTGAATCCTCCCCCAAAGTAAACATTGGACATATTTGTAGCAGTCCAGGATCTTTAGAAAACTCTAAGTGATAATAAGTTACAAAACGTAAGTCTGAACTCACTTTCCCAGCCTTCCTTGAAACTAGGATCTGGAAGACACATGAGCTTGGCTCTGCCAATCAGATGCACTCAACTGCCAACTTGGGGCAGGCACCACCCAGAATTCATGTTGCCATGAGGGTAGTGGCTGAGGGGACCCAGATTTCAGAAACAACATTTGTGATGTTTCTGGGGGTCCCAAGTCAGTAGCACAAACCAAAAGACTGTTTCTCAAGAGAGGAAGCCATGGAGCATTCACTAGAGCTGCCCTTTAGTTGTTTTAACACTGGACAGTATTGTTAACCACTCAATGTGACTTGCTGATTCTCAGATACCAGGAGCTCTTTATATTTTTTGCTAAACTAGTATTATTATTATTATTTTCTGCTTATCTTAGCAACAGTGGTTTCTGTTGATTGCCATTAAAGAACCCTGAGTGACAGAGAAACTGGTACCAGAAGTGGTTCTGGCATCAGAGCCTCAAAGCAATGGCAGTGTGAAACTGGTTGTCTTGACTAGTTGAGCTTAAAGATAATGAGGATGTAGCCAATGTGAGGAGGGGACTTTGGAAATTCATGGCATATAGCTGCAAACTTACCAATCAAATAATTGCCTAGGGCTACCAGGAATGTGAGAAAGACTGAAACCAGGGCTCAGGGAAACAAGAAACCCAGGAAAAATAAACAGCATGAGGACTGAAAAGGGCAGGCTGGCCCCTTCCAACTGTCCTGAAACACTTAAAGAAAAAGATTGACAATTTCAGATGTCAATTCTTTTCTTAAGTCAAAGTCAGAGGACCAGGGACTTTCTATGACTATAATGAAATGATCTTTTCACTCTCACAGTTGTAGTATTAAGGTGACAAAAATCAAAATTATAGCTTAATCTTGAATGACAATGTTGGTAGAATTCCACAACTTGCCTGGTTGTGAATGTGCAGGTTAAGATATTGATTAGGAAAGAGTGGCACATTCTCTCCAGATTCACACCACGCACACCTCCAGGACAGGGTTAGGGCTGGTGAGGCCAGCTAGGCACCTAGGGTATAAAATTTAAGGAGGCACTCATTCTAAGGGTTTTCTAAGCACTTGCTTCTGTCACCCTAGTCCTGTCTCTCCTACTGAACTAGACAGGCTCCATAAGGGAGAATTTTAATCAGTGAGGTACCTGGAAGGCCGAAGTCCACTCCACTGCCCTTGACAGGAGATAATGAGTCCTTTGCCTCTTCTTTTGTTTTTGCATCCTCAGAACCTTCAGTTTTTGACAATTCCAGGGGCTCAGTCCATGCTTCTGAATTAAATTGCAGGACAGCCTGACCACACAGGCTGTGAATTTTCTTTAAAAAAAAAATGAAAATAAACTATTTTTTATTCTTGGATTGACACACATTTAACAGTATCAATCAAATACATTGTAGGGTGATTTTTACTTTTTAAAGAATTAAGCAGAGATCCTGGGTTACTGAAGTAAAGCCATGCACCATTGTCATAGCAGACAGACCCTGTCATAGCAGACAGGGCTAGAGCAGTTGTGAAACATCTGTCTTCAGATCTTCAGTCAAAAACAATGTTCATCAGTAAGGCCATTTGGGAAAGACTGTTTGAAGGGTCAGGAGCTGTATTGCTGTAGCTGCATTGCTATTTAATAAAAGCAAAGACAGCAGAAAGTAGCTTTTAGATGAAGTAATAATGAAAAATAAAAGCACACGTTTGGCTGGATGGGAGGCTCAGCAATGCAGCCTGTGTCACTTTCATTGACACAGAATTAAGCCATTTCTACCCACTGAGTTGGAAATAATAAGAATTATTTTTTCTCAACAAAGTCTCTTATTATGTTGTATTTGGTTTATGATCCTTCAGTGGTTCCTAAATGCTATATAACTAAGTTAAAGGAGCTTCGTGGTCTCAAAAGGACGACTACTTTCTCGTTCCAACTTCAGCATCTCTGCTCACTGCAAGCTCCGCCTCCTGGGTTCACGCCATTCTCCTGCCTCAGCCTCCCCAGTAGCTGGGACTACAGGCACCCGCCACCATGCCCAGCTAATTTTTTTGTATTTTTTTTTAGTAGAAACGGGGTTTCACTGTGTTAGCCAGGATGGTTGCAATCTCCTGACCTCGTGATCCACCCTCCTCGGCCTCCCAAAGTGCTGGGATTACAGGCGCCAGCCACCGCTCCAGGACAACAATCCTAACTTTTATATGGGTCAGTGGTGAATAGTATTTAGATATTCATAACAATGCGAAAGTTGAATATTGATTGAACCACTGTATCTGTTCAGCATATATGCTTTTCTAGTGGGGTGGGGAATGGGTAGGGTACAAATTTGTGGTTGGGTTGGAAAGGAAAGAGAGCGAAATAGTGAAATTTAAATAGTTGTTCCCTAAAGCTGAGAAACCAAAACATTGCAATACAAGTGTATAATTTAGAAATATGGAAGTAATGCCAAAATAAGCAGCAAAAAGAGATGAAAGTGATAGTTGCAGAGAAGGGGAGAAGTGGGGTGCTTTGAGTACTCCATATTTTTAAATAATTTTCTGAGATATAAGGGTGGAGGCAGGGAGAGCAATCAGAAAGCATTTACAGTGTTTCAGGAGAGAGATCATGAAAACCCAAAGAAGAACAGAGGGCTTAGTGATGGAGGGGAAGTGGTTGACCGGAGGACCGTCTGGATGGGACACTCTGATTGCTTGTCAGTGACTGAGGACAAGAGGAAACAAGAATCATCCCTGTGTGTCAAACAAGGGAGAACAAATGCTGCTACCAGCAGAGATGGAGATCTGGACAGATTAAAGGAAACAGTGAGGGAATGATGAATGGAATTTTGGGCTGGTGTGTTACTTCTGGGAAAAAGGGTTGACTTCCAGTGCAAGACACAGTAGCACTCTCTTTATCCTGCAACATTGATCAGGAAAGACAGAGGTGGCTTGGACAACACCTCTCTGAGATCCTGGATGAAGAGAACATGGAGCATAAAAGCCTGAGTTGAGTATGTTGTGAGTGAGATTTCAGTTGTGTCACATCACAGGGATTGTGCAGCTGTTATCTCAGTCTAATTGCTACATGAGGAGGATGAAATAGAGGTACTTCTCTCCAGACTTCTGAGATCATTGGTTCTATGACCTAGTCCAAGTGTTTTAACTTCTCTGTGACTCAATTGTTTTACTTGGAAAATGAATGCACTGCTTAATTGTATTTCTTTGTTTTGAAGTTAGTTACTGCATGTGAAGCATTTAGAACAGTGCCTGGAGCATTATCATTGTTATTATTATTGACATTATGCTATTTGAACAAATATAAGTCCATGTTACAGTGGAGTAGAGTGGAAACCATGATGTGTGGAGTGGAAGCAGCTGAACTTTCAGGCAGGTGAATCAGTCTCTAGCTCAACTCCATCACTGGCTTTTGGGGGAATGTTATGCTGGGCTAGGAAAGAAACTTAACCTCTCCCTCCACCTGAAAGTGAAGGGATTCAACCAACCCCTTTCGCAAGGTCATGACTGAATGCTGCTCTCTGGCCATCATGGGATCATATGAGAGGAACAAAGTGAGAGGTACAGCTGGAGAGTACATTACCATGTATATTAGTCTGTTCTCATACTGCCATAAATAAATACCTGAGACTGGGTAATTTAAAAAGAAAAGATGTTTACTTGTTTCATGGTTCTGCAGGCTGTACAGTAACCATGATGTTGGCATCTGCTTGACTTCTGGGGAGGCCTCAGGAAACTGACAATCATGACAGAAAGTGAAGGGGGAACAGATGTCTTATGTGGAGGGAACAGGAGGAACAAGAGGGAGCAACAGGGGAGGTGCCACACATTTTTAAACGACCAGATCTCACTTACCATCATGAGAACCACACCAAGGGGATAGTGCTAAACCATTCATGAGAAATCTGCCTCCATGATCCAATTACTTCCCACCAGGTTCCACCTTCAACATTGGAGATTACCATTCCACATGAGATTTGGGCCAGAGACACAGATTGAAACCTTATCATGTCTTCATTCTAGGCTGGGGTGGCGGGTGGGAAGATAGACCTTGCTTGGAGATGGAGTGTGGTGTAGGTGTCCCACCAGTGTTTGGGGACAAGAGACTAAAGGCTCTGTGTTCATGCTACAAGGTCACTTGTTTTGCCAGGCTGTGAGCAGCTTGGGTACTGAGCACCCTCTCTCCCAGCTCTTTTCCATGACACACAAAGGCCAGAGCATAAAAAGGGGGCAAAATGAAATAGGAATTTGTAACTTCTTAAGACTTGAATATCAGTGTTCCATTTTTTTCTTTTATTAAAAAAGGCACTGAGGATAATAATGTTTTACATCGGATGCTCCTTATGTGATCTGGGGGCCTGTCCAAGCCATAATGAACAGTTGTGAGCAACAAAGCATGCAATTATGGTTCTTGCCCTGTCAGATACATTTAAGCAGGGATTTATGGCTGTCAACCTGGCTCGGAAGTCCGCTTCTCTTCATCTTCCATCCACCAGAAAAGGTGCCATAAGCAATTCTTAGTCACTCCTCCTCCTGCCAGCCTTTGTGTTGGAGCATCATTCATTCTTCATTTATACCTGGCACCTGTCCTGAAAGGATTTAAGTTTGCCGGCCACAACAAAAACTACAATCCTAAAAATAGCACTCTAAAGAGCTCCCACACCATTCAAACTCAATAGCACTGCCTATTGAACACTTCCTTTGTGCTAGGCTATATGCTCAGTGCATTAGATACATCATCCAATTTATTTCTCAGGACATCCATGAAACAAAGATATCACCAAACTCATTTTGTGTGTAAAGAAACTGAGGATCAAAGAGACATGTTAACTGACTCAAGTTTGCATAGTTCAGGTTTGACCTTGACTCTATTCTTTCAACCTCTCCTCTGTTTACATTGGATCATGTCCTGTGGATATGTGCTGGACTTTGAGCAAGTTAATGAGCCTATGTTTCAGTTTCTTTGTCTTTCAGTAGCCACTTCAAAGTGTATTGTGAGGATTAAATAAGTTTTAATAAAATATAAGATAGTCAACACATATAAATACTCAATAAATATTAGCCAGTATTTCTGTTCTTCCTCCCCTTACCCCTCTGTTTCTTCCTTTCTTTCATCATTATATATATTGAGTTCTTGATTCACACCAGACCCTGGTATACATGAGACAGATTCCCCCTTCTACAAAGGCACCATTTTTTTCAGCTTTTGCCCTAGGACAGAGAAGCACTTGTTTTTCAGAGATTTGAGCAATTCAGCTTCTACTTCTGTTGAGAAAAATAAAGAAGAATTGACTGTACTAAACTCAGCATACAGAACTAGATTTTAAAAATAGTAATAGAATATCATGACATTTGTCTAATCATCCCCAATATAAAACACACTGCAAAATCAGATGATCTCCTGTCTGTATTTCCTGTAAAAAAATCTGTTGCATACCTTGGATAATTTTAGAAACAGAATTAGCTTTCAATTTGTTGGCACATTACTGAGGAGAAAAAAGTAAAGAAAAATGAGACATTCAAATTAAATTAGCCCCCATATTGATATTCAACCTCACTGTCGAGCACATAGTGTCCGTACACCCACAGATCCAAGAGTTAATCAAATTCCCAATAATAAAACATGTTTCTTCAGGTTGAACTGATTATTCATTAGAAAATAAAAGTGGGTGGCAGAACCACCCAGAATCCTAAATACACTTATGCAAATAGACATATACCAGCTGCCACACTTCACTGGCTTTAGGGAATACTCTCTATTGGGGAGCCTGTTCTCTCCAAATTGGAGGCCCTAGTTATGAAGTTATGAAGTTATGAAGTTATGGCTTCTCCCCTGCCCTCAAGGCCTACACAGTGTGGTCCAGAGAAACATGGAAAATTCTGTCACCGAGTGAACATGCTGCAATGAAAGCGTATGCCAGCCGGAATACGAGGTCAAGAGAATAAAGACATGTGCATGCTCCAGGCACGCAGGAGTCTTCTTAGTGAAGGGGATGATGCTGGAAGGAGGAAAAGAAGAGACCAGTTCGGGCAAGGAGGAGTCTTAGCTCAGCCTGCTTTCCTAAGAGCGAAGAAAAAAACTCAAAGGGTTTCTACTTGGTATGACAAATCTCCTGGGCTGCCCCCACCCTTACCTCCAATAGCAGGGAAAGAGACATTTTATTCTTTCCATTGCTTGGGGGACTTTGAATAACAAAATAATTTTGTATCTCAAAAACTTCTACTTGCCTTTCTGTGGTATGATTTTCTTTGGGACTTACCCTTTGGTTCAACAGCATTGCTGTCTCCTTACACGTCAGCTTCCAGAGTGGGGCCATCCTTGACTTGGATATTTATATATCAAGTTGTCTCCCCGCTAAACTCACTTCTCAGTATTCCTGGATCAAGTGGCTGATCTCTTCCTCCCTGGGGAATTGTGCTCATAAAAAATTGCTGAGCTTTCAAGTTTTAAGCTCAACTGATGTCACGGGATTTACCACCACCCATCTGAATACCTTATTTTCTCTCCCCAAAAAGTATCACCTCCTGAACTTCTAGGTCATCTAGACTCCAACCATGTTTATTCAAGTCAAGACTTACTGCTTTCTGAGCTGATTTATGCATGGTCTTGTCTTTGATGGACCTCTTTCCTGTGTGCTCCAGTCCTGCTGTCATATCCTTCTCTGTTGCAAATTAGGTTACCAGTGCATCTAGGAAACACTACATCACACCTTCTACTGAGTTTTTAGACAGCAATGAGGTTTGGCGTTAGTCTGTTTTCATGTCCCTCTCTGAGTCCCCGATTCTTGACCTTCTAAGGTCAAATCCACTGCTACACTTGGATGTATGAGATAATCACTTACGAGCAAAATGATTGGCTGCATGTAAGGACTAATCACATAAAAATACTTTAGTAACACTACTAACTTTCATCTAAAGATTGCCCTTGAAGTCCAATAATTCATCCTCTAGTTTGTGTCTCAACTAACCAATCTATTTAGATTAAAATCCTCCTCTACTTAGAGCCTCACCCCAACCCCACCTGATCAAATTTAGACATTCTCAGCTTGGTCTCTGGGAGCAAGACTGTAGTCAATGTGTCGTATTCACAGACCATCCACTGCCTATTAACACATTTATTTTTATAACTAAGAAATTTGTTCCACTGCAATACACGGTTACAATGATGCCAAACTCTGAGCTTCATCATCTCCTTTTTATTTACAATTTTAACTGTATCTGTGTACAAAAATTCAAGTTTAAAAACCACATGTCTGAGTTTCTTGGGGCTGATTACGTTTTGAAATTGTTATTTTTTTAATGTTGAAGTTAAAGAATGAATATAACATATATTGCATTTACTCCCAGGGATCTGGGCTAGCAAGCACAGCAATATTGTTGACACGAACTTATGAATATTTGCAACAAGCAGAATAAGTAAAATTTATAAGAAGCCACTTGCCAGGCTACATTAGATATTGCCTCTAAATGGGAAGAGACCAACTTAAATTGTCCCATTAGCTAGTTTCACCAAAAGCTTTTAAATTTCAAAACTGTGGCTAAGGGAATTTGGACTGTATTAGTATCATTGTTACTGCTGGAACCATCAGTATTTTGTTGAGCTCTTTCTGTGAACGTGGACCAATCCATGGACCCCTCATGAAGTGGTAGTGTTGCCATCATGCTGATGAGAGTATTGAAGTTCAAAGAATGACGACGATTTCCTCACACACAAATTAACAGGCAGAGCCAAGTGTTGACCTCTGGCCTCCTTGATTCCAAAGCCACTACTCTGTGTACTTTAAAACTGCATAATTTACACTTCTGGGAATCTTAATTTTGGGTGGTTCTCACTTTCAGAAGGTCTTTTGCCCCAAGCTACAGCTATTTCCTTAAGGTAGGGGGGTCATAGTTTTCTCTTCTGACAAAGCAATGGAGGTAAAAGTCTTTTCTAAAAGCTCATTACAGAACAACGTGTACAAATAAATCAAGTTTGCGACTCAAGATCTGAGTACCAAAACTTCATTTAATTGATTCCTTATCTGTCTCAAACTATAAAATTTGCCAGAATATTATTATGTCCTTAGATTTTCTGTCCAGACTGCTGTTTTGTTCATTCATTTATTTAGCACTTATTTATTGAGTACCTAATATATGCCAGAAACTGTGTGAGGCCCTGAGCAGTGGACAACACAGACAAAATTCCTGCTTTCATGAAATTTATAGTCTAATGTGGGGAGAGGAGCAATAATTAAAATAGGTATGCGTGTGTGTATAATTCAGTGTTGAAAGGTTATGAAAAAGTTAAAGCAGGGAGGGGCATAGAGATGCTGAGGGGGTTGCAATTTTAAATAACTTATTCTTGGGAAGCCTCACTAAGAAGGAAACATTTGAAACAGCAAGAACCAAGACACCAAAGGAGAAGTGTGCATGCAGCCTGAGAAATAGTAAGGAGGCCAGCAGGGCTGAACAGAGTGAGAGGGAAAGTAACATGGGGACAGAGAGCTGAGGAAGAACCCAGGCAGAGGTTGTCCTCTATTCTGAATGAAATAGGGGCCATTGCAAGGTTTTGAGTAGAAGGGTATCTGCAGAGACTAGAGGTGAGTGAGGGCAGAATCAGGAGGGCAGTGGAGCGAACCTGTCCTGGAACCACCTGCTTGACTCTTTTCACCCTGCAGGCAGGTCATCGAGGGAGGTGGCCTCAAGTCTGGATCTAGAGTGAACTTTTGTGATGAGTAAGTCAAAGCGATAGATGGGAGTTAAGACTTAGATCACAGGAAAATCATTCATCATAGGAAAATTGCTCAAAGACCCCATGTCCTAAGCACTTGTCCACAAATAGGACTCACCATGAATACCCAAGCCAGTGTTCAGAATCAGGTTTCAGTGAGATGAGAAGCAATCAGGAGCTGGAAGGCAAAACAGATCATGGGGGAAACAGCAGTGGTTATTTGCTGCATGCCTTCTGTGCCAGCTGATGCGAAGGATATTGTTGCTCTAGGATGTCTAAAAGGACCTAAGAAAAGGGAGACCCCTCCTTTCTTCTTTTTTTTTATTACACTTTAAGTTTTAGGGTACATGTGCACAACGTGCAAGTTAGTTACATATGTATACATGTGCCATGTCGGTGTGCAAGACTAAACTAGGAAGAAGTTGAATCTCTGAATAGACCAATAACAGGCTCTGAAATTGAGGCAATAATTAATAGCTTACCAACCAAAAAAAGTCCAGGACCAGATGGATTCACAGCCGAATTCTACCAGAGATACAAGGAGGAGCTGGTACCATTCCTTCTGAAACTATTCCAATCAGTAGAAAAAGAGGGAATCCTCCCTAACTCATTTTATGAGGCCAGCATCATCCTGATACCAAAGCCTGGCAGAGACACAACAAAAAAAAGAGAATTTTAGACCAATATCCTTGATGAACATCGATGCAAAAAATCCTCAATAAAATACTGGCAAACCGAATCCAGCAGCACATCAAAAAGCTTATCCACCACGATGAAGTGGGCTTCATCCCTGGGATGCAAGGCTGGTTCAACATACGCAAATCAATAAACATAATCCAGCATATAAACAGAACCAACGACAAAAACCATATGATTATCTCAATAGATGCAGAAAAGGCCTTTGACAAAATTCAACAACTCTTCATGCTAAAAACTCTAAATAAATTAGATATTAATGGGATGTATCTCAAAATAATAAGAGCTATCTATGACAAACCCACAGCCAATATCATACTGAATGGGCAAAAACTGGAAGCATTCCCTTTGAAAACTGGCACGAGACAGGGATGCCCTCTTTCACCACTCGTATTCAACATAGTGTTGGAAGTTCTGGCCAGGGCAATCAGGCAGGAGAAGGAAATAAAGGGTATTGAATTAGGAAAAGAGGAAGTCAAATTGTCCCTGTTTGCAGATGACATGATTGTATATCTAGAAAACCCCATCGTCTCAGCCCAAAATCTCCTTAAGCTGATAAGCAACTTCAGCAAAGTCTCAGGATACAAAATCAATGTGAGACCCCTCCTTTCATGGCTTACTAAAGTGAGGCAGGGAGGGTAAGGAAAAAAAAATATGAGGTATCAGAATAAAGTCTCAAACACGTATTTTCCATTTGTTCAACAACCACAGCAGAACTAGGATAGCCACATAGTTGAAGGCAGCAGGAGGTTGTGGGAAAAGCACAGGTTTGAAGTCAGAATTGTGATGAGTTCTGGATCCACCATCACTGGGCAGGAGACCAAGGACAAGTGTAATAGTTAGGGTGCTCCTGACAACAGAACCAATCAGATATATACAGGTGTAGAAAAAAATAGAAGACTTGTTATGAGAGATTGGTTAATGTGAATACACAGGCTAGGAAGTCCCACAATCAGCAGCCTACAAGCTGGAGGCCTAGAAAAGCCACTGGTGTAGTTCCAATACAAACATGAAAGCTTGAGGACTAGGAGACTCGATCATGTAAGTGCCAGTCTGAGTCAAGACCTGAGAAACGAGGGATGGGGGTACAAAGTCCAAGGGCAGGAGAAGATGAATGTTCGTTGAAAAGGAGAGAGTGAATTTGCCCTTTTCTCCACTGTTTTGTGCTACCTGGGTCCTCAACGGATTAGATAATGCTTATTTGCCCTGGTGACAGTGATCTTCCTTACTCCCCTACTGATTCAAATGCTTATCTCTTCCAGCAACACCCTTGCAGACATACTCAGAACTAATGTTTTACCAGCTATCTGGACATCTCTTAGCCCAGCGGAGATGACACATAAAATTAGCCTCAGAGGCTAGTTCTTTACCCTATTTGAGTCTTGATTTTCGTATATGTCTAGGGAAATCACCATCATTAGTATTTTTGAATGAACCATAATATTGCATTTCACATAAATTATTAACCCCATGAGCTACCTTGCTGTTAATAAATGTAATCATTATTATTAATATGAGCCATTTAGCCCAGAAATCTGTTCATTATAGGAAAAGTCTTATGAGGCCACCTCTTTTTTCTTGGGAAAACCCTTAAGGCCTGAAAAATCCTTCCAACAAAATATTTTGTCCTAATAAATTATTATAAACCCTTTGACCATGAATATTTGAATGTATTGAGTTTTATTTTTGAGAGCTTGGTTTTTCATTTTTACCTAGAAAATATTCAGTTCTGAGGTGGACATCTCTGACCACCCCAAAGAGCAGGGCATGAGTTTCTTAGATGTGTTAAGGAAGCCACAATTATGCTTTCTAAGCCTCTTTGGCATCCCTGTTAGTCACACTCCATTACTTTATACGCATGTAAATTTGTAACCCAAAGTAGTCCACAGTTTGCTTTTATAAAGAGTAACACTGAGGCTCAGGTGTTATCTATACAATTCTATGGAGGCTGCCTTGTGTGTTGCAAAATGGATGCTGCATTGAAGGCTGCGCAGACTGAATTGAAAGTCTGGCAGGTAAATTTAGTTGTGATACTATCGCTTTCTAGCATCTGAGTCAATTGCTCTCAAGGAATTTCAATTTCCCCATTTATAAAATCAGAATAACAATACATATTGAGATGAATGTTGTGAGGACTAAATAAAAGTAAACTAAATATACATAAAGAGAAACCTCCAAATATATAAAAGTATATTCAAAGGATACCTTTTAAATTAGCTCAGAAAATATAGATTATTCAATAAATAGTGTTGAGACAATTAGTTAACTATCTAGAATTACAAAATTGGATCTGTAACTCACATTATAGATGAGAATAAAATTAGGAGAAATTAAACATTTAAATATAAAAAGTAGAGAAAATATAAATATGTTAGAAAAAATTTTTATTTATTCAATAAATATTTACTGAATGCCTACCACATGTTAGGAGCTTCTAAGTGCTAGGAGTGTAGTTGTGATCAAAAGAGACAAAATCACTACTTCTTATAGTCTTTATAGTGGGAAAAACAGAAAATAAACAATAAATAAATTGTGAATAAGTAATATGAGTAATTGCTATGGATAGAAATAAAGCAGAGCAAGACAACAGGGACTATTTAGGGAGACAGGTCACACTTTTAAACAAGATTATTATGGAGGTCTTTGAGGAGAAGGTGGTATTTGGGTCAATGCCTGAATGAGGTGTGAAATTGAGCCTCTACATGATTTGAAAGAAGAATGCTCCAGGCAAAAGAAAGGGAAAATACAAAAGTGCTAAGGTGGGAGAAGTACTTTATGATCCTGAAGTGTGAAAGAATTTTTAAACTATGACTCAAAATCCAGAAAAATAATCACTAATACAAAAAAAATCAAATGTTTTGCATTGTGAAAAAAATACAAATTAGAAACTAAAGGGAAAACTTTCAATTCATTTTATACACTAAGAGAAAGAATCCTTAATACACAAATAATATGAATAAAGAGTTCAGAGAAAGGTTCTTAAACCTATGGGAAGGTGCTTAGAATCACTCACCATAGACACATAGAAGTCAAAACTATCGAGTTACTATTTTTGTGTATTATATTGTCAAATACAGTGAAGGTAGCTAATACACTCTGTTGAAAAAAAGGGTTTTGTGGAGGAAACAGACTCTTTTATATATTGCTTGTAGAAATATAGAACCCTGGATGAAAGGCCTTATCTATCAAAATTATAAATTCATATGATTTTTTATCCACAAATTCTACTTCTGGGAATTTATTTTAGAGTATAAATTCCTCATGTGTAAGATGACTTACATATATGAATAGTCACTCCAGCATTGTTGTTACACACAGTGGAAAACTGTCTAAATGTTTATTAATAGGGCACTGATTAAATCAACTATGATACTTTCATAGAATCAAATTCTAAGTTGTAAAAGAGAATACGAAAATTTTTCATTTGGAAATATCTCTAAAATATAGTCTATTTTTTTTTTTTAAATGTGTTTAGCACTGTGTTAGCCAGGATGGTCTCGATCTCCTGACCTCGTGATCCATCCGCCTCGGCCTCCCAAAGTGCTGGGATTACAGGCGTGAAACCCCGTCTCTACTAAAAATACAAAAAATTAGCCGGGCGTGGTGGTGGGAGCATGTAGTCCCAGCTACTCGGGAGGCTGAGGCAGGAGAATGGTGTGAACCCAGGAGGCGGAGCTTGCAGTGAGCCGAGATCATGCCACTGGACTCCAGCCTGGGCGACAGAGCGAGACTCCGCCTCAAAAAAAATAAAAATAAAAATAAAATGTGTTTAGCATTAAATCTGTCGTATAAAATGAAGAAAATAAGAAAATATACTTGCACTGGCTTTATTCTGCATAGAGAAACTCTGGAAAGATGGAAAACTACATTAACGGGTTACATGTTGAGAGAGGATGGATGGAAAAGGGAGATTTTTCACTGTACCCATTTTTATACACTTTGATTCTGAACCATGTTAATATATTACTTATTCAAAATTAATTAGACTATATGATTAAGGTTAAAATGCAGCACTCAATTTATATCTTCTATTATAATTATTAATATTAAAATTGATATTAATATTAGATATCCTGAGCTCTAGCCAGACTCTGACACAAGCTAGCAGTTTTGATTCTGGCAAATTCTAATTACTCTCTACTTTCCTAATTCATAAAATGTTCATTTATGAGGATGCTTCCTCCTTTAACATCATAGTGACAAAGAACAAACGGTCATTTGAAGAACAGTATGGCATAAGCTGGGACTTTTAAAATTATCTCCATTTCTCTCATATAATGTATATTCTCTCATATCACAATAGTAATGTGAAGTATTTCTTTTTCTCCATTTCAGAGATGAGAAATTTGCAATGTAGAGCACTTCAGCAGTTTGCTCATAGTCACAAGTCCCAGTGGTGTTACGACCGGGACATGCACCTGTGTCCCCTGTGATTCCAAAGCTTGCGGTATTACCACTATCTGAGAAATGCTTTCTATCTTAAAAGTATCTGATGAATAAGAGGCCGGCACTGAGTTGAAGATAAGGGCCACAGTTGTAGGCTTTGTTCTTTTGTTAGTCCTGCTCAAATTAGAAGACTGAAAATGGTCAGGATAAGTGAGACCTGCTAGGTCTCTGTGCCACTTTATTGGTTATGCCAATTTGTTGACCAGGGCAATAGAGCTCACATTTGCCGTTGAATAGCATATGGATTTAGTTTTTCTTTCTTGAATCAAGTAGCTCCTACTGCTGTATTCCTTGGGTCTGGAAGTCATTTCATATTGGTCCAATGTTTGCCATTACATTCTTGGAATCTTGTTTATAGGGCTACAATGGATTAGCTAGAAACAGGGCCTTCAGGATGGGAATGAACTAGACAAGCAATTTATGTGCAGAGAAAATTGTTGAAATGCAATGGATGAATGTGAAATGTAATTAACAGGGAAAAATGAAATCAGAGCTAGATAATTAGTTCCATGGATTAGATTTGAAGAAGCACATAGATTACGGTGGAGAATGAAAACAAAAGGTCAGGGTCCGAAAATCATAAAGAGACCAGGAATAAGGGAACTTGATCACATCTGTTTGTTGTTGTTGTTGTTGTTGATGTTCGTTTGTTTTTACTTTCTTTGGTACTGATCATATGTTGTGTCCTGAGCTTGCTAGTCCTAAGGTAAAGATTAGACTACTAGAGTACTTCCAAATGTATCTCTCTCCTGGATTTGTCCATTTCTGATTCACTTCTGTCTAGTGTAACAGTCAGTTACCTTCATGTCTTGCAACCAACCCTACACAGTCAATGAAAAGAAAGACAAGAATGAAAAAATTCAAAAAAGTGAGACCAGGTTTAGACCTTAGGGTTGAAATCGGTGGAAAAGAACTAGAATTGTACATAGAATAGACCCAGACTGGATATCAAGCTTCCTGTCCCTTTGCCAACATTATAAGCCAAGGTCCATAACACAGTGAAATATAAAGCTGTAATACCAAGGCCAATTTCCAGGCCTCAAAGAGCAGCAAAGTCCATAAGAGCAGAAGTCAGTGGAAGGTTTATGATGTGACTAAACTCAATGACTTATGCATAGATTTGCAAGAGTTTATGTCAAATTCAGCATCAGCCCCAGAGGCTGCATGGGTGAGAAACTGATCCAAAATTGAGCTGACTGCCATCTTCCTCCTTCTCCTGCCTCCTCAGGTATCCTTAGTCCAGTTGGTGGCTCTCCTATCCATTCAGTCATCCCACCAGCTAGTTGGGGTTCCTTCTCTGTTTCCAGTTGCTCCTTTGTGTTGCACATCCCATATATCCCCATGCCCACCTGACTTCACCTCACATATGCTTTTTCTAACAGCTTTACCGTCCTTATCCACATCCCCACTATTCAGGCTCTTACAATAACCTCCAAGGTGACTGCAATTGTCTCTCGATGGGTCTCCCTATGTCCAGGGTCTCCCTTTTTCTAACTTTTGCTTGCTCATTGATTTTAGAGGAATCCAGTAAAGATGTAGATACAGACTGGTTAAAATCTTTAAGGCTATCAATGCCCTAAAATGTTGTTTTTTTACTCTTTCTTAACCTGCCCCTTTCTACAAAGCCTTATCATACATATAAATATCCTGAAAAACGCATGTCACATGGTAAGCACACAATAAATGTTAGCTTCCTTCTACTTCAAATTACTAACTACTCAAGATTTTGTGTTTCACTTTCTGTAAAATTTGTGTTATGAAAACAATAGATACGTTGAATATGCTTTTTAAAATTACACTCCATTTCCCCACTCCAGATTCTTCCTATATATTTCTATCACCATCAGCTCCTCACGTGCTCGTATTAAAGATTCCAGGAATAGACAGCCCCCATGATTCTGTCCCATGTAGCTTTCCAGCTTTATCTCTGGCTACTCCATTTCTCGCATATAATGTTGCAGAACCACAAATCGTCTATCAGTCCCTGAAAACACTGTGCTGTTGTTTGACCTCTTTGCTTTGCCATAATCCATAGTTACGCATTAAGACTCACTTCAGGTGCTTTTTTTTTCCTGTTAGGAAACTTTCCCTGATGAAAGTCCCCAAGGATAGACTGTGTGTGCCTCTTCTGTATCCCCATGAAGCCCTTTGTCAATCTATAGCATTGTCCTGATGTTATTATAACTACTCGTCTTTGTGTCTAGTCCCTAACTAAGACTCTGATCTCTTTGAGAACAAGAGTCAATGTTGACTGTTAGAGCATCCACAGTGCAAAGCTCAGTACTTGGTGCATAGAACAGTCTCTGGACTTATTTGTCGAATGGATGGCCAGAGACCAAGGGGGTTGCCCAGGGAATAGAGTCTTTCCAAGGACTCAAAGGACTCATTGAATGAGAGGAGGGGTAGGTATGAGGAATTAAAATGCATAGAGCTCCCTCTGTGCCCCAGGTGCTGATTTTTTATGCCTTGTCTCAGTTAAGTCCCACAACAGATATGTGTGCTAACCTTTCCCACCACAAGTGTTCACCGCAAGTCAAGGAATTGGAGATTCAGTGAGGGTACTTTTCTTAGATTATATAGCTAGAAAATGGCTGAGCTGGGATTCAAGTCCAATTTATCCGATCCCTTTGTTATAGCAAAACTGCCATGCTCCTACAAGTCAGAAACATTGATTTTTCTTCCTTTCCTTTCATTTTCTGACCTCATATCCTTTACTGTGCCAGTTTGCTTTTGACACTTTTAGGTAGCAATAATTTAATTCACTTTTTTTTTTTTCAGGCACAAAGCCACTGCAATAGCTGGGGAAGTTCCAAATCCCAGGAAATCTGAATGGTGGTTCAGTCCCAGTACTTCTGTGACTACGGCCCACACTTAGGATGTTTCTCATGGCTGAGATGACTTAGGAGACACATGGGGATGGATAGAGAGATATAGGAATTTGAGAGTGGGCCAGAATTTGAGAGGGATCTGGGAAGAAAAATTCTCACACTTCCATTATGTGTCTGGATAAGACCTGTGTTTTAAAATAGCTCCCCATTTCAGAATCAGGCAAAACATTCCTAGAGTTTAAATGATGCTTTGACCACGCTGGGCAATTTAAATGCACTTAGAGGTGACAGTACCTGCGTGTTCAGCCTTTGCTGAGAGGAAAGTATCGTTTATCGAAATGGCTTCCAAACTGCTCTGTTTTGTGTAAGCACCGTCTGCAGGTACTCATCAGTGTCGGGGCTGAGTGGTGCGGGGAATGTTTCCCAGAGCAGCCACAAGGAAAAGTGTGTGCTTGGCTTTCCTTTAAAGCCCCAGAATAACTTTTTGGCGATGAACACACTGAGCATAGAGCCTAGCACAAATAAGTGTTCAATATACAGTGTTATTGAGTTTTAATGGTGTAGGAGCTGTTTGAATGCTACTTGTTGGTAAATGGAGCACCTTATGTGTTGTGATCCTTTAGGGGTGGGGGACTGAGGCTTTTTAATCTCAGCCCCCAGCATGCTTTAGAAGAAAACAATTAATTTCCCGACTGTTGCGCAGTTGTTGTAGGATTTTTTTTTTTTAATTTTAATTTTATTTTAAAGCTGGGTCACTGCAAGCCTCTGTAAACAAAGTAATCGATCAATGGCTATCAGCAGTTCTTGTGAGAGGGCAGAATAATTTGATGGATTCTGGACAATAGGGAAAAAATAGGCCAGCAAGTTGAATAAATTAACGGATGCTATTATCAGCGGAAATAGAAGTTCCCCCAGGAGCTTCCTCATCCTCATTCTCAGGCTATTAAATCTCTCACAGGCCAAAGGTGGTGATGATGCATAGAAGTTTCTCATGGACAGCCTCCAGTCCCTTTTTGAATCTTTTTGCATTTGTAGTTTGACTCTTCCTCTGGACTCCAGGTGGTAGAGATTGAAGATGGATTTTTTGTGTTTATTTTTAATCTTTGTCGAACACCTGAACACTGGTACTCCAGGAAGATGCTTCTATTTTTCTGCACCCTGACTCTCTTCTGTGAGAAACAAAAATTTTGGGTCCCAGAAAGGAGAAGTGATCAACTCAAAGCCACAATTACTTATGGTGGGAGATAAGTCTCAAGTTCAGGTTTTCTGCCTTTAAGTACAATGCTCTTTCCCCTACATCACATTTTTGTACCAATGTTTTATTTAGGTACCTGTAATGGGAGCTCCATTATAATTGTCACCTCCAAATTGTTTCTCCTACTTCCCCCTTCTCCTCTCCCTGGTCCTCCTTACATACAGTTTCCTGTTTAAATTCTCCCCAGACAATTTTTGTCCTTAATAGGATCAGAGAGTCTTGAAACAAAGTTTTGAATTATTTGATATCTATCCATTGTTGACTACCTAAAATACTCTCTGTAGCCTGGCTTTTAAATACTATTTATTTCCTTTCATGGGGCAAACCAATCTCTTACTACTCATTATGTATTCTCTATTCTGCAGCCCAGATATCTCGCTCCTGCACAGATATGTAATTGGCTCACGCTCTTCTTTTAGCCATGAATACTCTCTACCCTCGTCATTTATTAAAATTCCATCTGGTTTTCAAAATGCATGTTAGATGACATTTCCTTTAGGAAGTCGTGACTATTCCCCACACCTCTAGCCTTCCTGTGTACAGTCTTCCAGTGTGTTCTGTTTCTAGAATGACCTTAGAATCCACATGTTGAAGGTGGTAGACCCACAGATGGGAAGAACCGGGGTCCTCAGATCACCACATGTAGAAGAATTGCCTTTAGCCAGTACAACAATTTTGGACTTTATGTGAGTAAGAAATAGAGTTCTACTTTGATAGCCACAGAATTTTCGGATTTATTTTAACTAACATGAAACAAAAATAAACAATAGAACAATATAATAAAAGTTAAACAGGAACCTCAGAAGATGGGATAGAGAATTATCTGACCAAGTGCTATATAGTTTTCTTGAGAAATGAATAAGTCTCTTTATCTAGAGAAGGGGTCTGTGAACTACAGCTCATGGTCCACATCTGGCATACCATCTACTTTCAAAATAAGTTTTTTTGGAAAACAGCCACATTTATTTGTTTATGTAGTATATGCGGCTGTTTCATAATGCAAGAGCAGAGTTGAGTAGTTATAACAAAAACTGTATGGCCCATGAAGCTGAAACTATTTAGTGTCTGGCCCTTTACAGAAAAAGTTTGACAACCCCTGCTCTGGAGTGTTGTATTTGTGTAGACAAAGAAATGAGACAGGAAATAGGACCCTTGACGCACAAAGGAATTTTGGCTTTGCCTTTCTGAGCCTTACCCACCCCACCTGACAAACGAAGCTAGTAACAACACCCATCTCATGGAGTTTTCTGAGGGCAGCATGAGTTAGTGCATAGAAGGTAGTTAGAGTAGTACCTGGTATATAATGGGTGCAGCACACCAACATGGCACATGTATACATATGTAACAAACCTGCACGTTGTGCACATGTGCCCTAGAACTTAAAGTATAATTAAAAAAAAAAAAGAATAGTACCTGGTATATCATGAGCACTCAAGCAATGTTGGCTATTAATATTACCTTGAAGCAAAAGAGGAAAAATTAAATAATTTCCAGCAGATGTGTTCCAAGACATATATCCATTTAGTTTGAATACTTTGGCTGTAGCCCATATAGGGCTTTATAGGTGTGGTGGTGGGGGAAGAAACGTGGGTGGAGAGAGACTGCATACAGAGCCTTTCAAGGTTCTCTTTTTCAGGCAGTCTCTTAAATGAGCTTCTCTTCATCATTTGCTGCTTCAACAGTCCCAGCTATTCTTGATAAAATATTCCGATAATGTATAGAGTACGTTTGACAGCTCTGAACTGGTAAGTCGCTCTCAGTACATCCCCATGCTTCTGCTCCCAAGGGGAGACTTGATGCTTCCTAAAAAGCACTTGTGTTTGTTTCAGTTGTACTGTTTATATGTATTCATTTAGCTAATTACTACGCAAATGACAAAATGTGAGTGCAAGGACAAAGAGAGTTGTCTCTATGAAAACAAATGTAAATGCTTTGGAAAGACTGGATTTGATAGAATATTTGATAAAGGTAGTTTTTATAATTTAAGTTAAATCAGTAAAAGATGGGATTAGGAAGTAAAAAAAAAGTTCAAGAGTCGGTATTCTTATTGCTTTTCCAAGCATCTTTACATTTCTACTCTACTTTCAAGAAACTCACATTGGAAATCAAAGACCATACATTATGAGTGTGATTTATGCAAATAAGACTGGAGCAAACTATAATCAATCTGGAACCCATCTTCAAATCAAGGCCTTGGCTGTACATCTGAACCTTGGCAAACAACAACAGATTTTTATGTTTTAAGTTAACCTAAAATATTTATAAGCTGCTTAGAGTGTATATGCATTATTTTTATGATCCTCTCTTAAACTGGTTCTTTTGATTAATTAGCCAACAGTGGCAGCCCTATTTTATTCACAATAAGGGCTTCTAATGAATTTAGAGACTGTTTCAAGTCACTGCTTCTCTAAGAATTCTGCTCTCAGCAGTTGTTCCTTTTCTGCGTCCCTGGGATCCCAATCTGGATATGCCTCTATTAGAGCAGCTTCAATACCTCTTGTCAACGATGAGATGGTTAAAGGCAAAACTCTACCTTTTAACTTATCTCCACAGTACCCAGTCCAAAGTCTGGTATATTTTAATTCCATTACTGTGCAAGTAATTCAACTGATGGTCTCCATGTGGATGTCTAGAGACATTTCAAGCAAAAGCTTGTCCAACCTGCCTTTCACAGGTCTTCCCATCTCAGCTAGTGGTGACTCCAGCTTTCTGCCTACACAGGCCAAAAGCCTTAAATTATCTCTGGCTCTCCTCTTTCTCACATCCTTAACACCTAATCTTTCAGCTTACCCTGAAAACTCCTCTGTCTTCATACTAGCTCCAGATCTGACCACTTCTCACCACCTCCACTCATTTCACCATGGTCCAAGGTCCCTTCTTCTCTTATCTGGGTAGTTTGTACAAACTTCTTAACTGCTATCTGTGCTTTGAAACTTGTCTTCTCATCACCCTGTTTCCAATACAACAATCTGAATAATATTTTTGAATAATAAGCTTGATTATATCACCCCTTTGCTCAAAGCACTTCATGGCTTCTCAGCTTACTAATTGCAAAAGGTACTGAACAATATTTCTAAATGAATAAATTAGAGCTACTATTACAATGGTAGTAGTAATTTCCATATAATGAAAATAATAGTACTTCCTCTAAAGATATAGCAGCAAATATAATAAGAAAAATAAGATAATCAGCTTAGCATGAGATGTCTCTGTAACACTCACAAGTCCATTTGGTTGCCCGGAATGTGGCCACATGTGGTCAATACAGGTGTCATGTACTGCGCAGAGCATGAGGAGGGAGAGATAGCAATGGGAGCTCAAGTGAGAAAGGCCTTGGATGCCATATTAAGAAGTTTGGATTTTATTTCATGACCAATGCAGAATATCACTCATACCCAGTCCATGACTGATGGAGGATAAGAGGCAGATCATCTCAATCTTCAAAGGCTACTACTAATGGTAGTAACAAAATTGGGACCCAATAATTATTGGTTAAATATATGAATGAATGAAATGGAACAACTCATCTGATTATGTGACAGAAAGGGTACTAGAATTTATTTACCACCTATGAAGATTCAGCTACCTTGCCAGCTGATTTTATGCCACTTAATTTTTACCGGGTCTTAGTATGCCTAATTTTTATAAGCATGGGAGTTTAATAAAAAATGTCTCAAAAAAGCCACAGCACAGTCTTGCTAAAGAGCATAGGTTTTGGAATCAATCTGTGTTCAAATCCCAATTCTGCTTCATCTGTCCTTGGAAAGATTAAGTACAGATTGCTCCTCTGTAAAATGATATTCTCAATACTTCTGTTAGTGGGTTGCTGCAAGGATTGAATGAGTTAAAATACAATGATTCCTATAGTCTCAATCACACAATAAACAGTCAGTGTTGTGATAGTTTTCCGGGTTAGTCTCCATCACACAATAAATAGTCAGTATTGTAATTGTTTTCCAGGTTTTCTCAACTAGCATGGTAAGATTGGGTTTTAGATACTGATTGTTTCTTTTCAAATCCTGCACTGGGCTCAGTGATGGTTAATTTTATGTGTCAATTTAAGGAGGATGTTTTTGGATGAGATTAACATTGAATGCAGTAAATTTTGATTAAAGCAGATTGTCTTCTATAATGTGAGTGGGCCTCATCCAATCAGCTGGAGGCCTGCATAGAACAAAAACACAGGTCTTCCTGAGCAAGAGGGGCTTCTCCAGCATATGGCCTTTGGACTTCATCTATACCATCCGCACTTCTGGGTCTCCAGCCTGCTGGCCCACACTACAGATTTTGGACTTCCCAGCTTCCATAATCATGTAAGTAAATGCCTTATAATAACTACTTAGACATACATATTTATATTTCATTCTGGTTTCTCTAGAGAACCCTCACTAATACAGGCTCCTTCTGCAGACTTCATATATTTGGGCCTCTGCAGTTTTCAAATCTTGTCTTAAACCAATCTTTTGGTCTTCTTCACCACACATACAGGACTATGTGGAGTATCCAGCACCAGCCTTTCCATACCTACATTGACTTCTGAGTGTTCTCTTTCATCTTCCTCTGTTTTCCCAACCTGTGAACTCCAATTCATTTTGTAACAGCCAACTCAGCTTCTTCTATCCCCTTTCAGAGTCTTGCAAAATGGTCACTCTGTCACTTACCTCCTGTTCTTTCTTGGCACATGTACTTTCAAACTTCTTTTTAAAAACTCATTCAATTATGTTCATCACTAATTGATTTCTGTGTCTTTTCTCCACTGTAAACACCTTGAAGGCAGGGGCTGTGTTTTATTCAGTTTTTTTCTTCCCCAAGTTCCTGTTAGCACTGTGCTAGGTGCAGGTCAGGTGGTTAAGGTTAGCAAATCCTCACTTGGTAAATGATTTAGCAGAGGTTGGATATTTAACATCTCTGCTGATCCATCCACATATGAACCCACTTAGTGAGTGGTTCTGTAGGATCTTTTTAGGATGTCTAATAGTCTGCCCTCTCAACCTGTTTACAACAAACAGCTTGAGTTGCGAGTTGCAAGTTGCACCTCTGCACCCTGAAACCTGCTCCTCCTTTAATCTCTCTCATTTCAGAAAATGACACCACCCTCCCCACAACTGCTCAGGCAAAAACATTTGGTGGTCATATTTACTGCTCCATTTCTTTCACAAGATACCTACAGTCTGTCCGCAAATCCTGGGACTCTGCCACCCAGTGGTCCCACATCTAAGCACCTCTTACCATCTTTTCTACAGCTGCCCCAATCTGGACACCATCATCTCTGGCTCACATCAGCATCTAGTACAATGGCCTCCAGCCTGTCCTCTCTGCCTTGCTTCTCTTCTCTACACACCAGCCAGTCTGATCATATCAGATGTAAACCTGATGAGTCTATACCCTCAACACCTTCTATGGCTCTTCTTTAAAGCCCCATTAACCTCTTTTAGAATAAGAATCCAAAGTTCCTACCAAAACTTAGGAGATTTCATGTGACCTGCCCTCTGCCCTCTCTCCAAGGTCACCCCTACCTCGTTTCTCTTTCCCTTTTTGCTCCAGCTATACTCCAGCCAGAGACCTTCTGCAGTTTCTCAGCACACGAGCTTCACCTGCTGTCTCTACACCAGGCATGCCGTTCCCAGAACTTCCCATGGCTTGCTTTTTAATACCATCAAAAAAGTTTAGCTCAAATACCACCTCTGTGGAGAGACCTTTCCTGGCCTTCTCTGTCTTACAAAGCACTGCGTCTCCAAATTTGCTATCCTTTGCATTCCATTGATCACCTTAATTATTACCTAAATGGTATCACCTATGTTTATTCCCCTCACTGATCCCCACCACCAGTGGAGTGAAAGCTCTGTGATAGCAGACACCTTTCTTTCCTTTTTTTTCTTTTTTAATATAAATCTGTTTTCTTAGTGGCTAGAACAAAACTAGGCACATAGTAGGTGCACAGTAATTTTTTGCTGAGTGAATGAGTTGAAGGAACAAACAGTATTTATTAGGTTTGGATGCGTTTGTTTGAATGGCTATTTTTTCCTCTTTAAATGTATTCAACTATTCTTGGCAAGAGAACATCGGAGAGTGAATGTAAGTCAGATGATATATGGGAAAATGAGAAAATAAAACGGAAAAACTGCTGAGCTACTGAATAGCGAATCTTAAGGGGGAACGTTCTTATTTCCAGTATCTTTATTTCCTGGAACAGAAATAGAATGTCTTCGTTCGGAAAGGAAATCCCAATGGAACTTGCAAAACACGAAAGAGAATTACATTGCCTTTTTGGGTTTTGTTTTGCTTTGCATTGATTCAGTCTATAAAAAGAGGTTTCTGTGCATCTTTATTAGGTGAGTGTTCACAATAACATTGTCCTCAGGGAAGTGAGGGAGAGACTGGAAGCATTGGAAAGAGTGCTGGGTAAGAAAAAGCTGCAAATTTTTCAGGCCCATTCTGTGCCCAGTGCTTTACGGTAATTTTAACAGTACCTAACATTAATTGGGGAATTCACAAATGTCTTGTGTTACATGCAGTCTCTGGTTTGGTCCTATTTAATCTTTATGGCATCTGGATATGTTAGCACTATTATCACTCTTTTGTAATGAGGAAACTGAAACTTGGAAATATTGTTTAACTTTCCAAAATCACGTAGCTTGCAAGGTCTTCTGCTTTGTGGAATCAGCCTGTGTTCAGATCTCTGTTCTGCTTCATCTGTCCTTGGAAACATGCAAATGGCTTTGTATTCCTACTGTGAGAGCCTCAATTGAGGCTTCCCTTCCTCGCCGGGATACTGATAAGGTTTGGCTGTGTCCCCACCAAAAATCTCATCTTGAATTGTTTATCCCCATAACCCCCATGATCCCCCACATGTCAAGGGAGAGACCAGGTGGAGATGACTGAATCATGGGGGTGGTTTACCCCATTGCTGTCCTCATAATAGTGAGTGCGTTCTCATGAGATCTAATGGTTTTATAAGTGTTTCGTAGTTCTTCCTGTGTTCATTCTCCTTCCTGCCATCTTGTGAAGGAGGTGCTTCCTTCCCCTTTGTCTTCCACCATGATTGTAAGCTTCCTTAAACCTCCCCAGCCCTGCAGAACTGTGAGCCAATTAAACCTCTTTCCTTTATAAATTACCCAGTCTGGACCAGTTCTTTATAGCAGTGTGAAAACAGACTAATACAAATACTACAGCAGCTTCTTTAACTGATCTTCTTGTCTCCAGGTTCCCTTTCTTCCAACCCTTTCTCAGAAGCTGCGGACAGTCCTCATGCCACTCAGTGGCCACGTGCATTTACTCACTCCCTCTGACCAAACAGCCTCAGGACACATATTTACCTTTGGCGTTCACAGTCCTCCAGTGCCCCTGCAATGTAACAGGAAGAGGTTGGTCCTTCTAAATTAGAGTAGGAAATTTGAGAAGCTTGAGAACAGGTCTTGCCCGTTGTTCATGTCTGTATTTTCAATGCTTAACATGGTGCCAAGAATAGAGAACATATTATTTATTATTTTATTGTTAGTTTTTTTTACTAAAGCCATATGTCACTTTATCTTCTAAAAATACTTTTGTAGCTCTTGTGGATTTATTCGTGAGGCAACCCGTGGCCATTGGGAATAAGCTGGTAATATTGCACATTGTATCTAGAAAGAATAGGTCCTCTCTCCAAAGCACATTACAAATCACAGAAAAATGGGGTACAGTGTTTGAATTCTAGAGTCAGACTTCCTGAGTTCACTTTCCATCTGTTGCACAGAGCACCTCTGTGGCCTTGGGTATATTCCTTGTTTTCTAAGTTTCTTTATATATAAAATGGAAATAAATAATCATACCTCAAGAGAATTTTGTGGGTATTCAAGGAGTTAATACATGGAGATACTTGAAATAGTGTCTAGAATATAACAAGTATGACATAGTTTGGCTGTGTCCCCACCCAAATCTCATCTTGAATTGTACTCCCCGTAATACCCATGTGTCATGGGAGGGATGTGGTGGGAGGTAATTGAATCATGGGTGCGGTTTCCCCCATGCTGTTCTTGTGATAGAGAGGAGCTCTTATGAGATCTGATAGTTTTATAAGTGTCTAGCATTTCCCCTGCTTGCATTAATTCTCTCTCTTGCCGCTCTATGAAGAGGTGCCTTCTGCCATGATTGTAAGTTTCCTGAGGCACCCCCAGCTGTGGGAAACTGTGAGTCAATTAAATCTCTTTTCTTTATAAATTACCCTGTCTTGGGTATTTCTTCATAGCAGCAGGAGAATGGGCCAACACAAAGCATTTAAAAATGTTAGCTAACATTATTACAATTCTTACAAAAACCTTGTGAGCAGCTCACTATGCATATTCTTGTTTTATAAATGATATCATTATCATTAAGCCTTGGGAGGTTAAACGACTTGTCTAAGGGCTCACGGCTAACAAATAGAAACTCATGAATTTTCACCTATTTGCTGTAACTCACTGGTCCTCACTGGGAGCAGATTTGTCCACAAGAGGACATTTGAAAATGCTTGAGGACATTTTGGGCTGCTAGAGGAGTGCGTGGTTCTGGCATTTGGTGTGTAGAGGTCTAGGACATGGCTAAACATCCTACTATGCATAGGACAGTCTCTGTGGCAAATAATTATTTTGCCCAAATGTCCCTAGTGCCAATGTTGAGAAGCCATGTTTTAATAATCAATCAATTAGATATGTTAAACATGACATTATAATCACATTATAGTAATGAAATGACCATAGAGCAGGCACCCAGAGGCAAACCTTAATGCTCAAGGGGCCTGGTCAACCCCAGCTGACTGGAGTCTGGTAACACAGCACAGGTGAATCCGTCAGCTAGTCTGTCACATCTGCTAGCCTTTGTAATAATGAAACTCCCAGCAACAGTGCCATTAATATCAGGGAACAATTCTATTTGGATCACAATCCCAAGATGACCGTTTGTGGTATTTATCACAACTATAACTCATTAATTCAGAAGATCATGTCTTTTTCAATGCCGTCCTCCATTCTTCAATGTAAACTCCATAATGACAAGGACCACTTGGGGTTGTCCTTAGCACCTGGCAAAGTGTCTGGACCATTGTAAATCTAAGACAAATCTATGCTGGAGATATACTTGTATGAAGAAATGAATAAATAAAAGACCTGGGTCAGCAGTTGGAAATACAAAAACACAGTCTGGAGCACAAGAGAGGAGTTTGTAATATTTTAAGTTTTTTGAAGTAATATCGAATGCTTAAGAGTACAGAATTTGAAACCCATATTTACACTTTCACTCATTCATTAGCCAGATATATAGAGAGTGAGCCCACAATATGCTAGGCTTGGTGAGGCTGCAGGGAAGAAGCTGATCGTATAGTGATGAGCCTGGCTTTGACTGGGACGTACACGTCTTAGCTCTGTGAAGCTATATAAGCACTCTGCTTTTTAAGTCTTTTTCTCTCTCCAAAATGGGTAAACAGCCTTTCCAATGGGGTTGCTAAAAGAATCAAATAAGATTATGACATGGTTTAATGTAGCATCTAGACATAGAAGGTATTTAGTAAATGGCTAACCATATGTGGTGGCTTTAAACTACGTCTACACATTCATTGACACACATTCTATCAAGAGGTGATATCTATGTCCTCTCCTCATGAACCTGGGCAGGCTTTGGGATTTCCTTGACTTAAAGAATGTGGCAGAAATGATACCAGGTGACTTCCCCTGCCAGGTTAAGAGACGTCACGTGGCCCCTGCAGATTTCTCTCTGGGAGCCACCCTAAGACCCCTATGTACACAGAGAGAGAGAGACCTGAGGAGCCCCAGGTGTTACTGTCCATGCGTGTGAGTAAAGACAGCTGGGAGCCCAGACACCACTTGCTTTCATCTTCATGACTGACTCCATGTGAGAACTTCCTAGCTTGGCTCAGTAAACTCCAGATTCATAAACAAAACTAATGACTGCTATTATGCTAAGTCATTGCTACCTGGTGATTCTTTTTCGGCCGCAAAAGATGAAGAAAACACCATTGTTTCTGGACCCTAGGCAGATCTGATGTTCAGGTGGTACTCCACTATCAGAGATGCCTGCGAACAGGAAAGGAAGAAAGGTCAATGTGTGTGCAGTGAAATTTACGGTGAAATGGACGTGAAGGCTGCTGTCTGGTGGCCCAAGGCCTACTAGACACTACTTTGGGCAGCAAAACCAACCAAATACATTTCCTGCTTTGAGGATGTCACATAGGGAAGAAGATAGAGATAGGGGGAAGTATTCTGGAAAATGAATCTAGAATGCTAAATTGAAGTCAGTTTTTTTTTGGTTTTGTTTTTGTTTTTGTTTTTATAGGGGCTTACTCTTTTACCCTGGCTGGAGTGCAGTGGTGCCATCACTGCTCACTGCAGCCTCAACCTCCTGGGGTCAAGTGATCCTTCTGCCTTGGCCTCCCGAGTAGCTGGGACTACCAGCACTCACCACCACACTTAGCTAATTCTAGTATTTTTTTGTAGAGACAAGTTTTTTCTGTGTTGCCCAGGCTGGTCTCAAACTCCTGGGGTCAAGTGATCCATCTGCCTCAGTTTCCCAAGGTGCTGGGATTATAGGTATAAGCCACTGTTTGTGGCCTGAAATCACATTTTAAAAAAAATTCTTATATGTCACATTCTGAAGATTATTAAAGGATAGACTACTAGGATTTTTGTCCAAGGTGGTGGCAACAAAATACAAATTTGAGAAGGTTTAAGACATTGTGAACAATGACTTCAGTACATCTTATAAAATCGATAGTTATCACACATTATAAGGTGGAAAATAGCATCACTTGATCTATGCTGAAGAAAGACGAGTGAATACTAGCCAAACAACATGTTCATGCTGTTGCTTTTTTCATAATTATTCTAGAAGTAGACTATAATCACAATCCTAATCTTTTATCTCACTTTATTCTTCCAATAACAACTTAAAAAATGTAATTGGATAACATTTCAGACTTCTGCTTCTTATTAATGGTAAAAGCAGATATTTTAACCGGTACCCAAATATTAGTTTCATAAGAAAATGAAACCTTTTTTCCACTTCTTGTGTTACAAAAGAGAAGAAAGAAAATACAATGTCAAGAGATGAAGCCGAAGAAAGATTTTCCTAAGGCTGTGATCTTTTCTATGGGCAATCAAGTGGTTGGTAGTATATTAGGCATCAGGGGAGACCACAGGTACCCACGTCAGAAAAGGAATCGTTCCTTGCAGCATTTGACATTTGGCTCCACCTTCTGACCTTTGGATAATGTTACTGTGTGATCTGATGTCATCTACCATTGAGAGTGTTTATTTTTACTTATTTCTTGCACGAGGGAAAATGTCATTCGTTGTTTTTACTGTCTGCTCCCACCTGACAAGGAAGCAGTTGCCTCAACATGACTGTGGTGCTGTGAGTGCAGAATGAGCAGTGTTTTTGCAGAGCAGCAGACAGCTTCTCAGCTACCTGAATTATTGATGGCAGATTCGGCACATGGCTAGTGATGCCTGAAGTCAGTATGGCTCCTGGCTAGACAAGCTGAAAGAAATGTCCCCGGAGCCAGGCACCTGCCTTATTGGCGTCATGAGTAAGAGGCACCACTGCCTTGCTGAAAACCTCACAGCTTGGAGGTGAGAGCGTTCTCCGAGAAACCGTTTGAGACATGTGCTGTTGTGGTGGGCACTGATGGGTCTCTGATAAGCCAAGAGCTCTACACATGTCTGTTCATTCACTGATTCATTAAGTCCCTGGGCCGCAGAGGACAGGTATGCGCTGCAATCTCAACTCATTGTTGGGATATGTGACTTGATGTAGGTCTTTGGACATCTGAAAAATGGAACTGACCCACAAGTTATTGAGTCACCATTATATGTCTAGTGTTTGGGTTAGGAGGGCAGCAGATGTAATGCCTCTTTTCCCTGTCTGAGTTCTAAACCAATTGAGAAGTAAGAAAAAAAAGTCCAGATTAGAATGAGAGTGTGAAAATATTCCCTTTACCGGAGGAAGGCTGGAGATAGTTAAGCTTCAAAGTCAGATCCATTGCCCCGGTTAGCAGACTCCTGGACTGGGCGGCCTTCTTCTGGCCTCTATTGCCAAATTTTCTGCATGGCTGAAAGCAACTGAAGTCTCCAGCTATCTGTTGCCAGCCAGTTGCCAAGAAGAAGGGGAGAGAAAAATGCGCTTTGAGAGGCCAAAGTGGGATAATTGCTTCTGCCCAGGAGTTCGAGACCAGCCTCAGCAACATGGCTAAATCATGTTTCTACAAAAAATGCAAAAAAAAAAAAAAAAATTAGCTAGGCATGGTGGCATGTGCCTGTAGTCCCAGCTATTTGGGAGGCTGAGGTCGGAGGATCTCTTGAGCCCAGGAGATCGAAGCTGCAGTGAGCCGTGATCACGCCACTGCACTCCAGCCTGGGCAACAGAGTGAGACTCTATCTCGACAAATAACAATAAATAAATGAAATGCATGAGTTAAGTAAGCTTGAGTTTCTCCTTGTACACATGCCAATAAAATGTCTCCTGACTTCCACAAAAATGCAATGAGTGAGACACGGGGAAGAAAACCAGAGTTTGACCTTAGCAGATCTGCTGCCACGTGGAGGGAAGAGTCCGGTCTGAGGAAGAGGCATTCTCTCCTGTGCTCCAACAGTTAGAGCTGTGAGAGTCACTTTATATCTGTTATCTCATAGGGCTGTTGAGAAGATTAAACACAATAATGAACTTTGCAAACTAGAAAGTATTTTATGGCGGGGTGCAGTGGCTCATCCCTGTAATCCCAGCACTTTGGAAGGCCGAGGCAGGCAGATCATTTGAGATCAGGAGTTCAAGACCAGCCTGGCCAACATGGTGAAACCCCCTCTCTACTAAATACAAAATTAACTGTGTAAGGTGGCAGGCACCTGTAATCTCAGCTACTTGGGAGGCTGAGGCAGGAGAATGGCTTGAACCCAGGAGGCGGAGGTTGCAGTGAGCTGAGTTCATTCCACTGTACTCCAGCCTGGGCGAGAGAGCGAGACTCCTTCTCAAGAAAAAAAAAAAAAAAGAAAGAAAGAAAGAAAGTATTTTAAAATATGTGATGGTATTCCATCTTTATTGTCTAGAAGGCCCTGTGCCCTAGGCCTGTGGAGAATAAACAAAAGAAAATCTAAACCTAAACAGATTTTGCATCAAAACACTTCACTGACCACTGACTTTGTGTCTTCTCAAAGTGGTAGTTATTCAAATCAAATGTCAAAGGTTCAGGCCTTACTTTTATTTCTTTTAAGCTGTGTGACTTTGGAAAAATTGTTTAACCTCTCTGTGTCTCAGAAAATAATAGATTCTTAGAGGTGTTGTAAGAATTAATAAGTTAATATAAGCTTAAACCCATGCCTGATATAGACTAAGTACACAATAAATATTAGTGACTATAATTAATAATACTGTAATAGAGTCAGATTGCTAAATGCGAGTCAGATTACTGCACTCTTCTCCTTCAAATCCTTCAAATGCTTCCTGTTGCTCTTAGAATAAAATCCACAGTAGAGTCCCTGTATGGCTTAACACCTGTCTGCCTATATATCTTCAGTGTGTAATCATATTCTGGTTCAGTATACTCCAGGTACATGAGTCTCCCTATTTATCTTCAGTGTGTAATTATATGTATAGTCCAGGTACACGAGTGTTATGTGCATTCCTCGGTTAAGCCAAACCTGTTCCCATCCCAGGCTCATGCCTTGCTTCTTCTTCTGCCTGGAAGACTCTTCCAACTTCTCTTATGCCTGGCTCCTTCTTTTCCTTCAGGGGTCCTCTGTTTAAGGGCTGTGCCATTGGCGTGGCTTACAAAGAAGACCCCTGCTCCTCAGTTACCCTCCCCTGTAGCCATGTCATCTTTTCTTCATAGAACTTATCACAATCTGTGATTTTGTTTGCCACTCTATTGTATGTCTCCCTCAGTAGAATGTAAACATCAAGAGGCCAAGGATTGAAGGATTGTGTCTGTTTTATTCACTTCCTTGCCCCCAGCCTCTCCCATAGGGGCTAGCTGTAATAGATGTTCAAAAAAGTCATATTGATTCAATGAATTAAACGAGAATGGCCTTTGGACTAAAGCAACTGGATGGAAGCCTGATATGGTTTGGCTGTACCCTCACCCAAATCTCATCTTGAATTGTAGTTCCCATAATTCCCACACGTTGTGGGAGGGATCTGGTGGGAGGTAATTGAATCATGGTGGCAGTTACCCCCATACTGCTGTTCTCATGATAGTGAGTGACATCTCATGAGATCTGATGGGCTTTTCCTTCTTTTGCTTGGCACTTCTCCTTGCCTGCTGCCATGTAAGATGTGACTTGCTTCTTCTTTGCCTTCTGCTATGATTGTGACGCCTCCTCAGACAGGTGGAACTGTGAATCCATTAAACCTCTTTCCTTTATAAATTACCCAGTCTCAGGTATGTCTTTATTAGCAGTATGAGAACAGACTAATACAAAGCCCACGTCCTGCCACTTGCAGCTATTGGAACCAGGCAAGCTATTTAATCCACATTACTGAGCCTCTGTTTCCATCTGAAAAAATGAGTGATTACACATCATATTTATAGCAGCAATCATTACAGCCAAAAGGTGGAAGCAACTCAAGTGTCCATCAATAGATAAGGGGATGAAGAAAATGTGGTGCATTCATGCAACGCTGTATTATTCAGCTTTACAAAGTCAGGAAGTCCTGGCACATGCTACAACACAGATGAACCTCAAGGATGATGTGCTTAGTGGAATAAACTGGTCACTAAAAGACAAATGCCGTAAGAGTCCTCTTAAATGAGGTTCCTAGAGTGGTAAAATTCATAGAAACAAAGTAGAATGGTGGTTTCCAGGGGCAGAGAAAAGGAGGGGAAAGGGAAGATGTTGTCTAATAGATACAGAGTTTCAGTTTTGCAAGGATAAATGTTTTCGGGATTCAATACCAATAATGTGAATATATTTAACACTACTAAACTGTACACTTAGGAATTCTTGAGATGATAAATTTTATTTTGTGAGTTTTCTATCACAATTAAAAACAATGGAAAAGATGAGACAACGACTTTGTTGTATGAAAAATAGAATTTGAATAATCAAAAGTCTCATGGACAGCTTCTGGGTGGAGATAGGTACCCATGTAAACTATCCAAGGTAGGAATGACTCAGTGTGGAATTTGAAGTCAGAAGGGCAGGGGGAGGTGCCAAGATGGCAGACTAGGAGCGACTCGCTTGTGCTGCTCTCAGGGAGAGGAGACAAAGTGGCAAGTAAACACTAGCTCTTCACGTGGATTGTCCAGGACGCCACGTTTGGATTCGTCAAGTGATATGGTTTGGCTGTGTACCCACGCAAATCTCATCTTGAATTGTGGTTCCCATAATCCCCACGTGTTGTGGGAGGGACCAGGTGGATATCGTTGAATCATGGGGGCAGTTTCCCCATCCTCTTCTCGTGATAGTCGGTTAGTTTTCATGGGATCTGATGGTTCCATAGGGGTTTTCTCCTTTGCTGGACACTCATTCTTCTTCCTGCCACCATGTGAAGAAGGATGTGTTTGCTTTCCCTTCTGCCATGACTGTAAGTTTCCTGAGGCCTCCCCAGACCTGTGGAACTGAGCCTATTAAACCTCTTTCCTTTATAAATTACACAGTCTTAGTCAGTTCTTTATAGCAGCTTGAGAATGGAGTAATACATCAAGAAACTAATGACTACCCACAGAGAGCAGAGAGGAGCAAGGCAGGACTGCTGCCCACTAGGGATTGGCATGGAACCAGAAAATGGCTGAGTGAGTAAGAGCCCCTGGGGACCCACACTTCTGCCATGGTCCTTTTCAACTCTGGGCAAAGGAGATTCCCCTCAAATCCCTGGGACTCCAGACTGACATAGAGAGATCGCTGGAGTCTGAGCAGAGTCACCACTCAGCCCCATATGGGCCCCCCAGGCCTTGGATCCCTGAGCACCCTGGCACCAGTTGCTGTAACCACACCAGTAAAGGAGATCAGGCTCTCTCGTGTGCCCCTAGGATAGGGGCTTCATCTATGGCGCTGAGAAGTGAATGGACTGTAGGCCCCACCCCCACTGTGCCTCACCCAGCAAGAACCACAGGCCCCTGGGTCCCTAGTGCAGGCCTCCCCTCCCGGCCTGAGCACTCTGGTCTGTTGCAGCCCTGAATTTCTCTGGGATAGAGCTACCAGAAGTAACCAACAGACCCTCAGTGATTGTTGCTGTCAGGGTTCCTGCCCCACCTTCCCTCAGGCTGGGGAGGGAGTGAAAAGCCCAAGAATTGTTACAGGACTCCAGCGCCCCGCAGCTGCCATACTGAAAAGCTGCCAGACTGTTTTCCATGTGGGTCTCTGCCCCTGCTACTCCTGACTTGGCAGGGCTTCCTGGCTTGGGCCCCCAGCTCAGCCAATCCACCCGTCCCTGATCACTTCAGTTGGCAATGACTCTGCACTTCTCTGGGGTGGGGTTCAGGGAGTCATCTGACAGGCTCTCTGCCATTGCTGCCATAGCGGTACCTGCCCTTGCTTCCCCCAGGCTAGAGAGGGAACAAAGAGGCTGATTGCTTTCCAGTGCTGCAGCTCATGTAGCTGCCCTTCAGCAAGACAGAGGGTAGGCCAGACTGTCTTATCTGCAAAGACACCAGGCAGTGATGTCTTCACCAGGCAAGGTCCCTCCAGCTTGGGCCTGCAGCACAGCTGCCTTATTTCTTGTGGCTGATCGCTCCCATCAGCCATGGCTCTGAGTTTCAGGGATGGAGCTCCCAGAAGCAACTGACAGGCCCTCTGTATTGCTGCTGCCACAGTCTCTTCTGTCCCCAAGATGGAGAGGGAACAAAAAGCCTGAGCTCGCCCCATGGCTATGGTGTACAGCTCAGGAGTGCCAAGCCAAGATCTGCGGCCAGCAGTCAAGCAGGAGGGGAACTCACACTCTCAGAGCACTGAGTGGGTGAGTCATAAGGGTTCCTGGGCTGCTGGGGAGGCTGAGCATCACTCCGTCCTGTGAGCTGGCCTGGAAAAGGTGTGGCCTATCTCTCTGCTTTGCCCTCTGCCCAAGGGAACCCTGCAGCCCAGACTACCTAACAAAAGAAACATGGGCCCAGTGCAAGTGACTGGAGGGGGCCTCCCCCAATGCCCAGGAGCAGACCAGGCGAGGGGGTCACCTCTCTAGCAGCTGCATCACAGAGCACAGCTGGCAAACTCCGAGGAAATATAAAGGACCCCTGTGGCTGAGTTTATCCATTGGCCATTACTCTTAAGCGCCATCTCCTGGATTACAGCCCAAACTACAACACAAAAAAAATACTTGGCTAATATACTCTTCTGTGAAACCAAGGGCAATAATTCAGCCAAAAATAAATACCTTACACAGAGACTTGGCCTTCTGAAAACATTCAGAAATGAAGCCAACTGACTATACTCAAATTACACCACAGTTAACATCAATCCTCCCAGATGAGAAAGAACCAGCCCAAGAACTCTGGCAATTCACTAAGTCAGAGTGTTACTTTGTTTCAAAATGAGTCCACTAGCTCCCCAGTAATGGTTCTTAACCCGTAGGAAATGTATGAAATGACAGACATAGGATTCCAAATCTGAATGGCAAGGAAACTCACCGAGATTCGGAAGAAATTAAAACCCAATCCAAGGAATTCAAGGAGTCTAATAAATTGATCCAAGAGCTAAAAGACAAAATAGCCACTTTAAGAAAAAACCAAACTGAACTTCTAGAGCTAAAAAATTCACTATAAGGATTTCATTACACAATTGGAAGTGTTAACAGTAGAATAGATGAAGCTGAGGAAGAATCTGTGAGTTTGAAGGCTGGTTCTTTGAATCAACCCAGTCAGACAAAAACAAAGAAAAAAAGAATTAAAAAAAAATAACAAAACCTCTGGGAAATATGAGATTATATAATGACACCAAATCTACAATTCTTTGGCATTCCTGAGGAAAAGAGACAATGAACAACTTGGAAAATATATTTGAGGATATAGTCCATGAAAATTTTCCTAATCTCACTAGAGAGGTTGACATGCAAATCCAAGAAATACGGGAAGCCTCAGCTAGATACTAAACAAGATAACTATCCCCAAGGTACATAGTCATCAAATTTACTTAGGCCAATGCAAAAGAAAAAAAATCTTAAAGGCAGCTAGAGAGAACAGTAAACTCACTCAGGATAACATCAGACATTTCAGCAGAAACCTTACAAGTCAAAGATTTTGTGGGCCTATTTTCAGCATCCTTAAATAAAAGAAATTCACCAAGAATTTAATATCTCACCAAACAAAGCTTCATAAGTGAAGGAGAAATAAAATTTTTCTCAGACAAGCAAATGCTGAGAGAATACATTTTAACTAGACCAGTCTTACAAGAGGTACTTAAGGGAGTGCTAAACAAGGAACAAAAAGAATGGCACCAGTTACAAAACCGCACTTAAGCACATAGCGCACAGCACTACAAAGCAATCACATAATCAAATCTGCATAACAACCAGATAACAAGGTGATGGCAGGATCAAATCTCACATATCAATACTAACCCTGAATGTAAATGGGCTAAATGTCCCTCTTAAAAGACATAGAGTGCCAAGCTGGATAAAAAGATAAGACCCAACCATCTTCTGTCTTCAAGAGATCTACCTCACATGCAGTAACACCCACAGACTCAAAGGAAAGAGATGGAATAAGATTTACCATACGAATGGAAAACACAAAAGAGCAGAAGTTGCTATTCTTATATCAGATAAAACAGATTTTAAATCAATAAAAAATAAGAAGGAAAAAGGATTACATAATGACAAAAGATATGGTTTAACAAGAAGAAAACATACACACACACGCACACACACACACACATCTATAGACAACCACACAATAATAGTAGCAGCTTCAACACCCCACTGACAGCAGCATTAGAGAGATCATTGTGTTAGAAAACTAACAAAGAAACTCTGAACTTAAACTTGACACTTGATCAATTGGACCTAATAGACATGTATAAAACACTCCACCCAACAACCACAGAGTATACGTTCTTCTCATCTGCACATGCAATATATTCTAACCAAATGTTTGCTCATCAAACAAGTCTCAATTAATTCAAAAATATTGAAATTATACCAAGCACACTCATTAACCACAGAAAATTTCTCAAAACTATACACACTCATGAACATTAAGCAACTTCCTCCTAAATAACTGAAAAGTGAATATTGAAATTAAGACAAAAATTTTAAAAGTAATTTGAAATTAATGAAAATAGGAACACAACTTAACAAAATCTCTGAGATATAGCTAAAGCAGTGATAAGAAGAAAGTTTATAGTGTTAAATGTCTTCATCAGGAAGATAAAAAGATCTCAGTTAACAAACTAACTTTGTACCTAAAGGAACTAGAGAAAAAGACAAATGAGCCCTAATGCTAGCAGAAGAAAAGAAATATCTAAAATTAGAGAGGAACTTTATGAAACTGAGATGCAAAAATCCATAGGAAAGATAAATAAAATCAAAAGTTGGTTCTTCAAAAAAGTAAACAGGATTGATAGACTGCTAGCAAGATAAAGAAAAAAAAGATCCAAATAAGTACAATTAAAAATGAAAAAGATGACTTTACAACCAGTCTCATAGAAATACAGAAGACCTTCAGAGAATACCATTAACAATTCTATGCACATGAATTAGAAAAGCTAGAGAAAATGACTAATTTCCTGGAAACACACAAAATCCCAAGATCAAATAAGAAAGAGATTGAAACCATAAATAGACCAATGTCAAGATTTAAAGAGAATTGGTAATTAAAAAAAAAAAACCCTACCAACCAAAAAAAGCTCTGGACCACATAGACTCATAGCTGAATTTTACCAGACATATGAAGAACTGGTACCAATCCTCCTGAAAATATTCCAAAAATTTGAGCAGTAGAGTTTCTCTCTCACTCATTCTATAAAACCAGTATCAGACTAATAACAAAGTCTAGCAGAGACACAATGGAAAAAGAAAACTTCAGGCCAATATCCCTGCTGGACATAGATGCAAAAATTCTCAACAAAATACTAGCAAACCAAATTAAAAAGTTAATACACCACAATCAAGTAGGCTTTATTTTGGGGATGCAAGGCTGGTTTAATATATGCAAATCTATAAATGTGATTCACCACATAAACAGAATTAAAAGCAAAAACCATATGATCGTCTCAATAATTACAATAAAATCCAACATCCGTTCATGATAAAAAAAATCCTAAATGGACTAGGCATCAAAGGAATACACTTCAGAAAAATAATAGGCATCTATGACAAAACCATACCCAACATCATACTGAATTAACAAAGGCTGGAGCAATTCCCTTTGAGAAGTGGAACAAGGCAGGGGTGCCCACTCTCATCACTCTTGTTCAACATAGTACTGGATGTCCTAGCCTAAGCAATCAAGCCAGAGAAAGAAATAAAAGGCATGCAAATATAAAAGAAAAAAATCAAGCTATCTTTTTTCACTGACTATACAATTCTATACCTAGAAAACCCTAAAGATTCTGTCAAAAGGCTACGAGAACTGATAAACAATTTTATAAGGTTTCAGAATACAAAATCAATGTACAAACATCAGCAGCATTTGCATACATCTATAATGTCCAGGCTGAGAGTCAAATCAATAACATAATTCCATTTTCTATAGTCACAAAGAAAATGAAATATCTAGGAATAAAGCTAACTAAGTAGAAGAAAGATCTCTACGAGGAGAGTTACAAAACACTGCTGAAAGAAATCAGAGATGACACAAGTAAATGGAAAAACATTTCATGTTCATGGATTGGAAAAATTAATACTGTTAAAATGTCGATATTTCCCAAAGCAATGTACAGATTAAATTATAGTCTTATCAAACTACCAATGCCATTCTTCATAGAATTAGATAAAACTGAATTTTTTTTTCTGCTTTTTTTAAAAAATTATACTTTAATTTCTAGGGTACATGTGCACAACGTGCAGGTTTGTTACATATGTATACATGTGCCATGTTGGTTTGCTGCACCCATTAACTTGTCATTTACATTAGGTATTTCTCCTAATGCTATCCCTCCCCCATCTCCCTACCCCACGACAGGCCCCGGTGTGTGATGTTCCCCATCCTGTGTCCAAGTGTTCTCATTGTTCAATTCCCACCTATGAGCGAGAACATGTGGTGTTTGGTTTTCTGTCCTTGCGATAGTTTGCTCAGAATGATGGTTTCCAGCTTCATCCATGTCCCTACAAAGGACATGAACTCATCCTTTTTTATGGCTGCATAGTATTCCATGGTGTATATGTGCCACATTTTCTTAATCCAGTCTATCATTGACGGACATTTGGGTTGGTTCCAAGTCTTTGCTATTGTGAATAGTGCTGCAATAAACATACGTGTTCATGTGTCTTTATAGTAGCATGATTTATAATCCTTTGGGTATATACCCAGTAATGAGATGCCTGGGTCAAATGGTATTTCTAGTTCTAGATCCTTGAGGAATCGCCACACTGTCTTCCACAATGGTTGAACTAGTTCACACTCCCACCAACAGTGTAAAAGCGTTCCTATTTCTCCACATCCTCTCCAGCACCTGTTGTTTCCTGACTTTTTAATGATCGCCATTCTAACTGGTGTGAGATGATATTTCATTGTGGTTTTGATTTGTATTTTTCTGATGGCCAGTGATGACGAGCATTTTTTCATGTGTCTGTTGGCTGCATAAATGTTTTCTTTTGAAAAGTGTCTGTTCATATCCTTTGGCCACTTTTTGATAGGGTTGTTTGATTTTTTCTTGTAAATTTGTTTAAGTTGTTTGTAGATTCTAGATATTAGCCATGTGTCAGATGGGTTTATTGCAAAAATTTTCTCCCATTCTGTAGGTTGCCTGTTCACTCTGATGGTAGTTTCTTCTGCTGTGCAGAAGCTCTTTAGTTTGTCTATTTTGGCTTTTGTTGCCATTGCTTTTGGTGTTTTAGTCATGAAGTCCTTGCCCATGCATATGTCCTGAATGGTAGTAACTAGGGTTTCTTCCAGGGTAAAACTGAAATTTTTAAGTTGATCTGGAACTAAATAAAGAGCCCATATAGGCAAAGGAATCCTAAGCAAAAAGAATAAAGCTGGAGGCATCACACTACCTGACTTCAAACTATACTATAAGGCTATGGTAACCAAAACAGCATAGTATAGTTTCCAAGACAGTGTAAAGCTGCACATTTATAACCATCTTATCTTTGACAAGGCTGACAAAAACAAGTAATGGGGAAAGGACCACCTATTCAATAAATGTCGCTGGGATAGCTGACTAGCCATATGCAGAAGATTGAATCTAGACTCATACGTTCACCATATGCAAAAATTAACTCGAGATGGATTAATAATTTAAATGTAAGACCTCAAACTATTAAAAATCCTAGAAGAAAACCTGGGAAATACCCTTCTTGACATTGGCCTTGGCAAAGAATTTTTGGCGAAGTCCTCACAAGCAACTGCAACTGGGAGTTCTCTCCAGACTGGGAGAAAATATTTTCAAACTGTGCTGCTGACAAAGGTCTAATATCCAGAATCTGTAAGGAACTTAAACAAATCAACAAGCAAAAAACAAATAATTCCGTTAAAAAATGAGCAAAAGATATGAACAGATACTTCTCAATAGAAGATATACCACCAGGCAACAAACATATGCAAAATGTTCATTCTCCCTAATCATCAAACAAATGCAAATCAAAACCACAGTGAGATACCACCTCACACCAGTTAGAATGGCTATTATTAAAAGTGAAAAAACAACAGATACTAGCAAGGGTGTGAAGAAAAGGGAACATTTATACATGGGTGGTGGGAATGTAAATTAGTCCAGCCAGTGTGGAAAGTACTTTGGAGATGTCTGAAAGAATTTAAAATAGAACTATCATTTGACATAGTAATCCTTTTACTGGGAATACGCCCAAAGGAAAATAGATTATTATACCAAAAAGATATATGCATTTATGTTTATTGTTGCTCTATTCACAATAGCAAAGCTATGGACTCAGCCTCAGTGCCCATCAATGGTGGATTGGATAAAGAAAATCTGGTACACATACGCCATGGAATACTATGCAGTCCTTAAAAAGAATGAAGTCATATCCTTCACAGCAACGTGGATGGGGCTGGAGACCATTATCCTAAGTGAATTAACACAAGAACAGAAAACCAAATACCACAAATTCTCACTTACGTGTGGGAGCTAAACATTGCCACACATGAACATTAACGTGAGAGTAATAGACACTATGGCTTACTAGAGAGGAGAGGCAGGTAGGAGGGATGTGGGTCAAAAAACTACCCATTGGGTACTGTTCACTAGCTGGGTGCAATATATATGCAGGGTGTAACAAACCTGCAGATGTACCTTCTGTATCTAAAATAAAAGTTGAAAAAAGAAAAGCAAGACATTGAAGACTGGGCTATTAAAACCATTATTAAAAACTACATAGTATATATTTGCAATTAAATACATTATATTGAAAACAGATATAGTAAATGAAAATGGGGGAGTTTGATATATTGATACTTTGTTTAGCTTATTAAACATTTTAGAATCTCTTAATATAAGACACATATGAAATTTCTTCACATAGGAAAGGTCATTTGGCCTAGTTCCTTGTTTGCTAAAATCACTGTGCTGCATATTGTTTTAAAAAAAGTCTCAAGGAAAAGAGCCCAAAACCTGTTCCCATGATGTTACATCCTCTGGCTTAATAGCTGTTCATTCTCCTCCTACATATTAGAGGAACTTTTTGTTTGTGTTGGTAATTATATTTATAATGCAATTGAAATGAAGCTGTATTCTTGGCCATATTTTATATCCTGCTATCCCAAACCCAGAAGACCCCTCCTTTATTTGTAGCAGGGCTGTTTGTGACTTTCTCCTTATCCCTTTATTACTCACCTTTTCTTTACCCAGGGCCTTTCCTCTGATAATACCTGAGTCTTTTTTTTTTTTTTTGAGACGGAGTCTCGATCTGTCATCCAGGCTGGAATGCAGTGGCGCGATCTCTGCTCACTGCAAGCTCTGCCTCCCAGGTTCACGCCATTCTCCTGCCTCAGCCTCCTGAGTAGCTGGGACTACAGGCGTCCACCACCACACCCAGCTAATTTTTTGTATTTTTAGTAGAGACGGGTTTCATCGTGTTAGCCAGGATGGTCTCGATCTCCTGACCTCGTGATCCGCCCGCCTCAGCCTCCCAAAGACATGACTCTTTTTCTGAGGTCTTTGTTAATCAGAGCATCGGGTCTGCCTACAAGCAGGGCAGAGGCAAGCCAGAATGCCAGAGAGCAACTCCCCTGAGAATAGTCCTCAACCGATGATGGACAGAAGCTTACTACCTGGGGGTGGGATAATTCAATTCAGCAATGGTCTCTGTGCAGTCTTCCTGGGTCTTCAATGGTATAGATCTTCACCTGCCCATAGCAGTGACTTGCTCATCAATGCGTTATTTGTTGTCTTCCTTCCCTGCTCCTCTCAATTCCCTACTCATTTATGGAGCTTTCTCCTCACACCTAAATGAAAGGTACTCAAGTCCTTGCCTGGGTGTGATTCTGGGACAATTTATATGCTGATGTCTGTTTCAGACAAAGCCCTTCTAGTCTTCGCATTAGATTTGGGAGATTGTCTTTCCATGGCAAGTACATTTGGGGCCAAAGTTGGTAAATGTATATGGTCTGATTCAGATTCATACCCTCTGAGAGCATCAATTCTATAAGAACCCCTGTCTGACCATAAAATCAAAAGGTTGTGAGAGCAATGACAATGTCACCTTGATTTCTGCGTGATTTCTCTTCTCTTCCCATGGCTATTTTTTTTTTAAGTTAGATGGTTGTACAGATAATTGAGGTATTTGTTGAGAAGACCTGATTCCTCATCAGAAGGAGGAAAAGGGATGATTATTTCCTGAGTATATACCCTGGGCCAGGTACAGTGCTCAGTGGTTTAGACTTGACTATTGTGTATTATTTTCTCTATCTGGAAGTTATTATTGCCCTTTTTTTTTCAAGTAAATCTACTGAGAGTAGGTGTATTAGTACCAAGATGTGTTCATGTTAGATAGAGATGATATTACCTACTTCACTGCGTTGTTGTGAGAATTACAGGAGATAACATGGAGAAGGTGCTTAGAACAATTCCCAGGAATTAGCGTGCCATCAATAAAACTCCATCATTGACTTTTGTATACTATCACCTAGCTGATAAGCGACAGGAGTAGGAATTCATCCGATGCCTGCCCAGGATCCATGCATCTCTTACAATTACCTTGAGGTACGCTGAAACATAAACCTTATGAGAGATAGTAATACTATCTAATAAAAATCAAGCTAGGTGTCACTAAGTTTGCAAACAATTAGAATGTGGTTATAGAATTGCTAGTTGCAGAAGTTTCTTCTTTGTAAAGCACAGCAGCATCTATATTGTATGCAATGAATACTGAGAGTGTGTGTGTGTGCTTGAGCACACACACACACACACACGATAATCAAACATTGATATTGCTGTGTGGTGGAATTCAGAATGAATTTATTGTATTTTTGTCACATTTTCTGTTTTTTAAATTTTTTAGAATGAACTATTTTTACAATAATGTGACTGTCAAAAGTGCTTGCAACACTATTTGCATTAGAGGCAAAATATAATATTCATTGGCATCTATGTATGTGACATGCTGGCATTCAAACCCTGTCCTTAAGCCCATTTGCAAATACATGCTATGTAAGGAAGAGCTAAGTCACCATAGAGTTTCATGTTTTCATTTATGACCAAAAACTTGCATTCTAAAAAAAGTCATTTCCCAAAACTACAAATATAAACAAAACATGGCGATGCGTAATACGATCTTTAGGTCTGCAAATAAATAATGCATTTGAATTGTTGTTGTTCTAGATTTAATCAAATACTAGGCCTCAGGCCACAAGATACTCCCCACCTTGATCAGGCTTGGCCTAGGGCCAGTAACAGAGCTGGGCATATATATATCAGGTTCAACCACATGTCTGTTTCTTACACAGGTCTGACTAGCAATGAACATAGCCTGGGTCCTGTGCATGGGGCTTGTCTGTACTTCCATTTATTGCATATTGTTTATTAGTATTGAACACAATGGCAGATATAATATGTAAGAAAAAATGGTGAGCCAAGAAACTATTGTATTAAAATGACAAAAAATACCATTTTGTAGCCCCAAAATAGCAAAAAAAAAAAATTAAAAAGGATGAGTACTAATTGTTGGCAAGGATATGGAGAAGTTTTCCTACTCTGCTATTGGAAGAATAAAACGGTGTAAACAGTAAAGACAACAAACACTATCATTATTGAGTAATGTTAAAGAAAAGCATAATACTCCAAGACAAACACGCACAAACTCATGCACATTTGCACCAACTGACACTTGCAAGAGTGTTAATTCTCCATGCCCTGAATTATCTTTCTTACCTACATTTGATGACATAGTCGTTATAATCATTCCCTTCCAGACACCTTCAACTCCCTAGACCTGATGCCGCCCACCTGTTTTGTAAATAAAGTTTTGTTGCACTACAGAGCCATGTTCTTTTGTTTACACGTTTTCTATGGCGGGTTTTATGCTACAATGGCTGAGTTCAGTAGTCACAACAGAGACTATCTGGCCCACAAAGTCTAAAATATTTATGACTTTACTCTTTACAGAAAATGTTTACTGAGTCCTGACACTATCTCCCCCTTTTTCAAAAACAAAAACAAAGAGCCAGCCTGGATAAAAATCGAAGTCTCTACCTCCTCCTCACCTATCTCACGCAGTGGAATATGTCCACAGGAAAACACAATAGGATCTTGGTATCAATTTATGATAGTACTGAATTCTCCTAAGGTTTTTTTTCCCTTTTCCATTCTATTATATGGATATTTTATACCTTCTCTTCACTCTTCAAAATCTTTGATCCTCATTTTTAGCCATTGACTTTATTTTCTGTTTCTGAAAGTAAATAGAAGTAAATGGAAAATAATTTTCAAATTTCCATTAGCACTTCACTTATCTCCTCTGACTTCATAATATGTGTATCAGTTAGCTAATGCTGCATAACAAATGACTTCAAAACTTAAAGCAATAATCATTTAATATTTTATTCAAGCCTATAGTCCAATGGAGCAGACCTGATTATTAGGACCTAGCTGTGCTTATCTCATCTGGGCTCCCTCATGTGTATGTGGTCAACTTGTGGTTAGCTGTGGTGACTTTGGCATGAATGACTCAGCTCTCTGCATCTCTCACATCCCTTGAGCATGCTAGTCCAGGTATGTTGCTATTGTGGTGATGAGAAAGTAGCAAAACACAAGTACTTTTTCAATATCCTGTTTACTTCAATTTACTATTGCCTTGTTAGCCAAAATAGTCACATGTTGAGCACAAAGTCCGTGTCAGTATGAACACAGGGAGGTGTGAAAAATCAAACCCACTAATATGTCCATACGCTATTATATTAAATAACTGGTTTATTTCTTACTACCTTAGTCTAAACTACCATCAACTCTGAAGTTGATTCTCACAATACCTTCCAGTTGGACTCCTTGACTCAGCCCCAGGTTCTTTAATGTCCATATTCAACACAGCAGCCAGCGTGATTCTATTAATAGTAATTCATATCATGTTACTCTTCTGATCAAATCTTCCCAAAGACTTCGAACAAAAGCAAAGATCTTATCTTGGTTAACGAGGTCCTATAACATTTCTGACCTCATCTTGTACAATTTTTCTCTCAGCCACCCTAGTCTAGGTGCAATGGTACACTTACCATTCCTTGAATGTTCTAGAACAATACTTATTGAAGGCCTTTGCATAATGTTTGGAATAGTTTTTCTTCAGAGAACACCAGATTAAGTTCTCTACTTAAATGGTCACCTTATCAATGAAGATTTCCCTAACTGTGCCATATACAATAGCTATACTCTCCTGTCCAACCAGTCTCACCCCCTATTCTGCTTTATTTTTTTCCACATCTGACATATTGTGTATTCACAATTTTTTGTGTGTTTTCACTTTAGAATGTAAGCTTCATGAGAGCATAACTTCAGTTATTGCTATTTCTTCATTGCCTAAAACAGTGCATGCCATAGAATATGTCCTCAAAAATTATTTGTAGAATAACAGAGCAGGTAAATGTGTAAATAAACAAAATTAAATTCAGAATTATAAAATGTACACTTACTGTATGATGGATTAATTAATCATAGTATACTTTTACCTTGGAATACCATGCAGCAGTGAGTCAGAATAAAGCACTACAGCATAGATCAACATGGATGAGTCATATTATACATTGTTGAGTTAAAAAAAGAAGTAAATTACAAGAGAACTGTAACAATGACCACAGAAAAAATGAGATTACATTACTTGAGGTCAGAAACTATAGATGAGTATGTCATTCTAGGAGTGCACTCTAGTCTCAGATTACCCTCTCTTGACTGCATCCTGGAGGGTGAACAGTAGATAATTGTGTTGCAGTGTCAGAGGTGAGAGTATTGGGGGAAATGCAGAAAACTAACTGGGCAGGGTCTGTCTTGTGCCTTACTTTCAGCAAACCATCATAATAGCCAGTTGGAAAGTGACCCTTCAAATTAAAAGTAATACTTTTTTGCGTTTCAGTGTCATGAGTTTTTAATAGTATCTTTTGTAACACAAATAAAATAAACAAACAACGTCCTCAGAGGAAATAATAGGTCAAAATCTAAAATCTAAGGCCTGGACAGAATTCTTAGTTCTATTAGGCATAGTTAGACAGGCAATGTCTCTGTTTCTCTGAGTCATCTACAAAAAAAAAAAAAAGAACAGTATATCTAACCACCTATTTAAAAACTACTTTGACAATGACCTAAAGCATGACCATGACAAAATAAATAGGACAATATGTCCCCAAACACTGTGGAATATCAGTAGAACTTGAACTTTTGGGTCAGAAAGACCTAAGTCCTAACTCTACAATTTACAACCCATATGTCCTTAGAAAAGTTGTCTGATTTTTTCAGCCCTGAGTTTCAGTGTTCTGTAAAACAAAAAATAGAGACATTAGTAAGTATGTTAAAGATTTTTGCAGTGATCAATAGAGAAAACAATTTTAAAAGTACCTAACATAAAGACCTAATATGAAAGTCTAAAAATCGTACAAATGATTCCATGAATAAATAAATAAATGAATGAAAAAATATATTCTATAGTCAGGTAGGGAGATTTATGCAATTAACTCTGAGTCCTTGTTTCAATGCATGATAAGTGTGCTTGAATTTTTTTCCAGGAGAACAGTGCATATTTCTGTGTTAGAGAAATAGACAAGGCATCCTGGAGGAATTCAGGCCTTGGAATATAGTGAGGCTTTTCTGCTATGGAGAATAGAGGAGGTCTTTTATATTGGGGATGAAGGAGGGGAGTTGCATTGGGAGCCAAGGCAAGAATGAGCTTTGTTATCAACTTAGCGTATCTACTAATTGAACTCAAGTATTTCTACTGATGAAAACTACATGAATAGCCACCCAATGTCATTAACATAGAAACACAGTTTCATAATAATGTACAAAGCTTTGGGGCTTGATGTGCTTTAGAATCCTTTTTTTCTTTTTTCTTTTTCCTGTCTCTCTTTTTTTTTAATTTTAGAAGCTAATGTCCTCAGTGGATCAGAGACAACAAACCATTAGTAAGTCTGTTAATGTTTCTCCAGTAAACCACAGAAACTTTCACACTAATGAGATAAATAAAGACTATAAAGCAACTCATGACAATTCAGGCAATGTTTTGCTGCAGATGGTTATAAAAAACATTCAGCTTTCAAATAGTTTTGAACTTCAACAGTGCAGATAAGAAACAGCTTGCATTAAATCTTAAGAAGAAAAAAAAAGCTTGACCACATGAAAACACTCTTGGCCACATCTGAGATAAACATCTTACAAAACCACTTAGGGCAAGAGGTTCAGCAGAAGAAATGTTATGCCCATATCTCAATTACTTCACAATAGATTGGTTTCCCTCTCCTTTAAATAAGCCACAGAATTAGGAGGCCCTCGAGAGAAATCTGAGCTGTCACATACTAATTAACACAAATAGCAATTCTCACATGGATGAATTATGTCTGAAAAATCATCTTTGACAGAACACATCTAAGTATCACAGGGAAGTGATGACAAATAAGTGTTTTCTCTCTCTATAATGGCTTGAATTGCAAGACATTTCCAATATAAGATCAAGAGAACACCAATTTATCTGACAAGGGAGAGAAAATGTGAGGCATGTTTTCCTAACTTTTTTTTTCTTGAGATGTCAAAGATTTAACTCAAATCTGCAGCTCTTTGCTTATTATTAGTGTTATTTCAAAAGCATGCTTAATGTGCTGGGCTCCAAAATGGTTAACATAATGCAAACAAAAAGCACTTTCCCATCACACTCATTGAAAGACAATATCTTCATTTCTATTAAATAATTTTTTGCAAGGGAATTGGTAAGCAGATTCCTGCCAGTCTCTCACTCTTAAGAGTTGTGCACATCGGCCAGGGGCGGTGGCTCACGCCTGTAATCCCAGCTCTTTGGGAGGCCGAGGCGGGGGGATCACGAGGTCAGGAGATTGAGACCATCCTGGCTAACACGGTGAAACCCCGTCTCTACTAAAAATACAAAAAATTAGCTGGGCATGGTGGCGGGTGCCTGTAGTCCCAGCTACTCGGGAGGCTGAGGCAGGAGAATGGCATGAACCTGAGAGGCGGAGCTTGCCGTGAGCCGAGATTGCGCCACTGCATTCCAGCCTGGGCGACAGAGCGAGATTTCGTCTCAAAAAAAAAAAAAAAAAAAAAAAAAAAAAAAAAAAGAGTTGCGCACATCGAGACACTGGATTGTCTGAGACTCAGGTCTTTTGCATTAAAATTAAGACAAAGTACTTAATGTAGACAAAAAAAAGATCAAATGTAGACATTGAGAACCCTCCAGTGAGTTTGTTTTAATAACCTGATCTTACCAATTTGATTATACAAAACATTTTTATCCTCCCCTATTTGGAATGAAAATTGAAATGGACTTGGTTTTAGGTCCTCCTGATAAGTGATTGTGCTGAGAATTCTGCATATGGTGGCCAAGAGTAGAGGATTCAGAAATCAATTTCAAGCCATGGTCCTTGCAGAAGGAAAGAGTGGAATGAAATGAGTTGAAAAAATTCAAAGGATGATGATGAGATGGCATCCTGGAGACCCAGCCAATATTCATGAGCCAAGAAAACTTGGAATAAAATGGGAGAAACAGGGTTGCTTCGTAGAAAGCCCAGCATTTGGAGTCAAACAGATCTGGGCTTGAAACCCATGCTCTCACATATTAGCTATGTGATTTTGAATGTCATTGAAACTTTCTGAGCTCTGAGCAAGGATATATCCATGTGAAAAATAAAGAAAATGGTGTCAGCCTGCACTTATTCTGGAGATTCAAGGAGAAAGTGCCAGAGTACCTGGCATATGGAATGTCTTTGGTAGAGGCAGCTATTTTTGTAGGAAGGTGTTGTTGACTCTGCAGATAAAAATTGATGATGATGATGATGATGATGATGATGATGATGATGATGATGATGGTAGTGACTGGTAATAGCCAGATGAAACTCAGACCCAAGAGGATTTGGGGTTTGCAATAATCACAGTGTTATGATCTGACAATCTTATAATGCATGGAGGCCTGAAACTAGCGTAACCAAACCAAATCAAACTTTCCTCTTTAGTTTGTGCCATAAGTTCTTCCATGTGCTGAGAACACAATGGTGGATTAGACAGAGAAAATTTTTGCCCAGTGGAATCTGTCTTCTAGGGAGGGGAAAAATGACGAATGCAGGGACAAATGAATATGGGAGACGTGTTCAGGTACTGGTAAAGTCACTTAAAATTATACCAGGAATTATGTATAGAAAGCAATAATTTTTATTTCATGGGGGAGGGAGGTAGAGTATTGCTTTACCTGGAGTTGTTAGAAAAAGTTTCCCTTAGAAGCATATTTTTGAATTGAAACTGAAATGATCAAAAAAGAGAAAGTCGAATTTATATAGGACTGTGTACATCATGGTAAGGATTTTGGGTTTTTTTTCCTAAGTGAAAAGGAAAATGATTAGATGGTTTTAAGCAGGAGATGACATAATCTGATTACGCTTTAGGGAGATTACTCTGGTTGCTGAGTACAGGATATTAGGCTGTTGGGTGGAGTGGGGGTGGCATGAGAGAAAACAGGAATAGCAGCTGAGGAGGCTCGTGCAGAAATTCAGAAAAGACCATGGCTTTTACTAGGTTCTTGGTTTTGGAGTAATGTGATATGGTAGAATTTGGGGATCTATTTTGGAGATATACTGACACAAATTATTAAGGGACTATCTGGGAGCCAAAACCTGTCAAGTCAGGAATAGCCTTCGTACCTTGGAAAAATCCAAAATCAGATGTAAAGCAATCTATACACTTTAGGGACTTTCCTTGTGCATAGAATACACTTTGAAGTCCATACCCAAGCATCAAATCCCTTTTGTAACCTTGCCCCTACCCACCTCTCTGCATACTCTCTATGTAGTCTTTATGCCTCTGCCATATAGGCATAATTCCATTTGCATCAATCTCTTTGGTGCCTAAACCTGTTGCTCATGCTGATCTTTCTGGTTGGAGTACTCTAGAAAACATTCCAAGACTCTTCACTTACTAACTCCAACCCTTCCTCTAGATCTGACATTAAACGTCCTTTCCTCAAAAGACTTTCCTGGCTCCACTAAGTTTACCCTTCTGGTTGACACGGGTCCAGCACTCTGAACTTCTCAGTAATAATAATAACATAATTAATAGGTAATATTTCCTAAGGGCATACTGTGTTGTTGCCCCTCTTAGGTAGTGTACCTGAATTATCTAACTGAATCCTCACAACAGCATTATAAATTTAGGTGGTTGTATTATCACCATTTTACATACTAAGTACCTGAGGCTCAGAGCATTTGAGCAAGACAGCTAATCAGCACTGGGACCAGGGTTTTACTAAGGCAGGCTGATTCAAAAACCATAATTGCAAACTACTCAACTTGTGACCTTTGTATTATTTGCAATTATTTGTTTGTGTCTGTTTTCTCTTAGATTTAATACTTCATTAGGCTCAGAAGCTTGTCAGTCTGGTTTGAAGTAATATGCATCCTGCTAACTAAAGGCTTACCATATAGCCTGGAAAAGGGTGATCATATGACATATATTTGTTAACTAATCATTTATCCTTTCAAACCAATGCCATGTGAGAACCAAGCAGAAATCTCATGAGCACTCAGGAGCTGTCCCAGTAATATTGAATTTGGCTCATCCTGCCTATGAAGGTTTTGGCTCATAAAACACCTGCAGATCAGAGTGGGTGATTCCTCATTTGGCTGTGTCCACTGAGATCCAAATGGGATGGCTTTGCTGAGTTGCATGTTCATGGGGTTCTCATGAAAGCCCCAGACACCAGTCGCATAACACCTTCTGTACTACTTAAGGAACTGCTGTTGAGGACTTGGGGCTGTGCCCATGATTCAGGATTTTTCCTTGACCTCTTCACAGAAATCACAACAGAATTGCCCTGTTTACTCAGCCTGCCACACTCCACCCCTTGCAAGAGGGAGCACATGATTGAACAAGTGTGGGAACTGGGCTAACCACTTTGGTGCCAGCAGGAGCAAACTCCATGCAGGCCCCGTGGTGCCATCCAGGTGAAGGTGCCTGTGACCCCCAGGCTCCAGAGGGCATGTTACAATCCTTTCTTAGCTTTACCATCTACAGAAAGCAGTGTGTTATTAGCTTAGTGGACCCTTTGCCTCATTGCATGGGGCAGCTGCTTTCTACCAGCAAGAACAAAGGGCCAGTGTGACAGCCTTTTTGGATACCCACAGTTGGTGGGTCCCAAACTCTTGTCCAGTGCCCAAGAAGAATGAGGTCATGCAGATAGATTGAAGGATGATAAATGTGAAGAATTTTATTGAGTGATGAAAGCGGATCTCAGTGGAGAGGGGAGGTGGAAAGGGGATGGGGAGGGCAGATTGCTCTCCCTGAAGTCAAGTTGCCTCTCTGCCTCTCTCCTTCAAAGTCAAGTCACCTTTCTCTGATGCCCAGCCATTGTCTCTGAAGTCAAATTGCCCTTCCCTGATGTCCAGCTGCTTCTCCTCTCTACTGGCTGAGTCTTGGGTCTTTATAGGCACAGAATAGTGGGGTGAGGTGGGCCATAGGTAGTTTTGGAATTGGTAAAAAGACATTATTCAGAAAGAACCAATCGAGAGAGAGTGGGCAAACAGGGATAGAAGTTCTCACTTTGGGCTGTGGGTTTCAGGCTTTTCAGTTTGAAGGTGGAATTTTGCCAGGGACCTGCCTCTGTCTGCCTAGAGTTTCTCTACCTCCTGCCTCTGTCACCTGAGAGCCATACAGCTTTCACAGGAAAAGCTCAGCCATTCCTGCATTGCTCAGTAGTCCAGACTTCTTGACCTGGAAATTCTCCTTTTGCATGAGGTGCCCCTTCCTGAGCTGTAAACAAAGCTCCCGGTGATCCTAGTGACCTAGGGCAATTCCAATCCTGAGGAAGCCTTCTTTGTGGCAGACTGGTCAGGAATGAGTCTGGACTTCACATTGAAGAGCATGTTCAGAATTTAGACTCTACCACTTAACTAGCTGCATATGCACAGATTTGGGCAAGATTCTTAAACTCGCTGAAGCTCAGACTTCTCACCTGCACATGGAAATGACATCATCCAGAGTTGTGAGGATTAAAATAGATGGTGTATAAAACATCAGTACTTGCATTGCTAAAAGAAACTCTTTACTTTTGCAGAGCACTTTTTAGTTTCTAAAACTAAATCATATCCATTTGTTCATTTGTCTTGAACATGGCAATTGACATTCTAATTTTAGAATTTAAGCAATCATTTATAAAACTAATATTTTGACCTATTCTGTTAATAAAGATAAAATAGACTATGATGTAGTAACAAAGACAACAACAGAAAGAAAAAATATGGGATCTTAACAGCTTAATCTTAAGCAAAAAGTGGTTTCTTTTTACTTCCATCACAGTTCTATTCAGGTTGGGCATGGTTAAGCAGAGCCTCAGACCACTATTCACTTGTTACTCTACCATCTCAGGACCCTTCATTTCCAATCACAGTGACAATAAGGAATAAAAGATGCTAATTTGCTCTTAACTGCCTCTTACCAGAAGTGACACATCACTTTGGCTTTCATTCCCTTGGGAGGACAGTCACAGAGTATCATCTGGTTTCTTGGGGGCTTGAATATGAAGAGGAGCACATGGATATTTATGTGTAAACAGGTTCTGCTATCCCTACTCTGTGCCAGGAGCTAAGAATAAAGAATTTAGTAAACAAATTTTATTTTCTCAGTAGAAAGATCCACATGGTTTTATCTCTTAATGTGAAACTGAAATGTGTTTTGTAATCAATGCTTCTATTTTATACAGTAGGGTTCATCACATCAATAAAAAGTTGTTATTGAAATGAGGATGTGTGTTACCACCAGTGAGAGTAAAATCAAGGAATTTCTCCCTCAAGAAACTCTATGCAGAGTTGCATAGAATTTTCAATAGAGGAAGGCAAGGTGCTATCAAGGTTCAGTGCAAAGGCAGCTAATCCAGTCCGAGGGGACTTCCTAGAGAAAGTGGTATCTGAAATTTTAAAAATAAATAGAAGTTATCTATGGAAAAGAAGGCAGCACTTATAAACATGGAGGCAGGAAAGAGCATGGCTCATTTAGAGAAATGCAAACAATTTCCATTACTGGAGAACACACATAGAAGTGAGAGGATTCAAAATGAAGAAATGAAGGGCCGTGGTGATCATGCTTCCTACTATGAATATTATCTCATTAAAAGATTCCAAGTTATGGACTAAGAGATGGCTAGGGTTTTCAGAAAGTCACAGAATACCTGAAAAATCCTGGTCTCCTTATAAAAAAGATACATTGTTCCATCTTCAGACTTATATCCAGGACTCTCGTGCAATGTGAATTCCTTTCATCCTGTGATGTGAGCAGGAGTGAAGAAGCGCAGGTTGAATATGTGTTTTGTGAGATGGGTTTATGGGAAGGACTAAAGGAAGAATGGGTTTCCTTTATCATGAATTATCTCACAATAGCCACACATTAAAATAATGCAGCATTTAGAGAATCTGGGCTTCTGGATCAGAGCCCTGAGCTCCCTGTCAGGGGAAATTCATAGACAGTTGCAATGAATGATCACCTGTGTCTTGATTTATGGTGATAAGCATGTCAATGACCTTGTTGTATAATATGGCTTGCATGGCAAGACAGGAATCAGCCCCACCACAAGGAGAGAGCCTGCCATCATTCTTCACCTTGACAATGACCTTGTTCTCCCACTCTTTTTTACCTGTACCCTCTTGAGCTGCCTTCATCAAACACTCCCTCCACTGCCTTACTTTTTTTGGGAAACTCTATGAAGCAGAAGGAATCATACTAAGACAGAGAAGTGAGCTAGTGTTCAGAGTAGAGTGACAAGGGCTAGCAACGCAAGGTGAACTGAGCCGTGAACTGCATCACACCGGCTCATGCATATGTTGCACACTTGTAGGCAGATGTCATATGTGCTCCTTCCAGTGTGAGCCAAGCTGGGATGCCAGACTCATAAAGCCATGCCATGTCGCACCTTCACAACCTTCCAAATGCATTCAGATGTCACTATTCATGCCATGTGCTTGGGTGGCCAAACCTTCAATGCTGCAGAAGGGCTGTGACATTAGAAGTTTGGTCTCTGTGGAGTCTCCTGCATGGACCTCCTCTCCCAACACACTATGCTTAGTTAGCATATGCTCAGGGAACCTATAAACAGGGACTCAAAAAATGAGAAGATTTTGGCTTCAATATAGTTTTTATAGAATAGCCCATTTCATAAAAAAAACAAGAGAGATATTTCAATTTGACCATATGCGTAAGCTTTCTGTTTATGGTTTAATATTATATTCATTTTGAATTGTGTTGAAGGATGCAAGGTGGTGGAATAATGTAGCCTTTCCAGGGTCCAGGGAGTGCCAAGAAAATAGGCCTTCCCTGGTCCATTTATCATCATCAATTCACAACTGTTCTTCTATATACTGGCCCCCCTCCCACCCCCACTCTGACCCACTCTCCACATTAACACCATTGCTTTCCAGTAGGACTTGCAGGGCTGCTCTTCCCCATAAAACCCACCATCTCGAAGCTAATGCTCAGGCTCTTTGAGTTGATGCACAGGACCACTTGTGTGTGTTTCATCTTTCTTTGCTCCTCCCCTCACACAACTGCACCTGTACCCTCCCAAAACTGGATGCCTTTCTGTCCCCCTGCTCTCTTGGCTCTCCCTAGTGAGAATTGAAACCTTCCCCTTCTGAGCTTCCACAAACATGCCAGGCAACCGCTGTTACCCCTTACACTGTGTCACAATTTGTTTTGATGTACCTGTACCTATCCTCCCCAACAGACTGTCAGAAACTCAAGGCAAGTGTATATATTCTCTTTAGTTTTCGGAACCTGGCAGGGTGCATAAGGTACAGTTAACATTAACTAAATAAAATTAAGTAAAAATATGAAAACAGTGAAAGAAGGGAAGGAGGGAGGAGGAAACTATAACATTATGACCTAGTAATGTTTAGAAAAACCACTCCACTGTCATCCCCTCTTCCATTAGGAAATCCAGGCTACTACGTTTTGGCCAAGGGATCCTGGGGGAAAAAAAGTTCACTGCTGAGACATATCTGTTTTTGGCTGGCGCTGACACAAATGCCTCTGACCCTAGGGTGAGATTCCATTCTGACACCAAATGGAAACAAGATAGGATGCAAAAATAGAAGTACAGTTAATGAAGCATGAGGAAGCCAGGCCATGCTCTCGGGCTTCTGTGTGATGAGAACTCTACTGTTTGCACGATACAGGCAGAGTCCAGCCCAGCCTGCCAGGAGGGGCATTGCTGGGGCTCTGGAAAGGTCTCCGATGGCTCATACAGGGAGCTAATGTTGTCAGCCACTTCATCTCCTGTTGCCTACCAAGACCTTGAGGCCACAGAGCAAGAAGATGCTCCTACAAAGTCAAGTAAGGGAGAGGCAGGGTGTTTTGCAAATCTGACTGTCTCTGAGCCTTAGAGATCCTTCTTCACACCCTCCCCCAGGCACTTAGCACTGGCTTTTTGTTTTTAACATATCCCAGGATAACTAGACATGGGACAGAAGAACTGATATAGTTGGAAGTTCCAGTTGACTTGAATGGATTGACTTTTGGCTAAAAACCATGAAATTAGAAGTGTCTTTTAGACCCTGACTGCCACTTCAAAACTATGTGATCTTGGGAAATGCCCTTCAGCTCCCTGAGCTCCCTGAAAACAACAGTTTTTAAAATATGCTATGTCCTGCCTATCTTATAAGAATGTAGTGAGGATCCGGTTAATGGATCAAGGCTTGTTTAGTGAACTTCAAGGACTATTCAAAACGGAGTTGCTATTACTCGATCTCTGTTCTTTCATGTACTTTGCAAATTTGTATCCAGACTCTGAACCCATCCATTCTGATTTCTCCCAGGCATCCTCAGAGACTGAGGAATCACAGTGAGGGTTACCCCCTCTGCTCCTGGAGCTTTTTTTCGTCACCACCGTTCATTGGCTACCAGCTCTGCTCTGGCCTGGTGCTAACTCTCAGGTGCTTGTTATTTTAGATGATAGCAGAAAACCGTCAGTGCAAGTTTTTGTTGTCATTGTTTCATTTAACAGACGAAACTGAGATCGAGAAACGTAAATTCACGTTTTCAAGGTGACATGGCTGTAGAATGCAAGGTTGAAAATTAAACTCAGACTCTCTGCCTCTAAAACATTGGTTGTTTCCAAAGACCATGCAAGCATTCTTTTTATTACTGTATTTCCCACATAAAAGCTTTATCTAAAATTATGTAGGTGCTCAGAAAATGTTTAAGAATTTAACAGAATTGACCTTCACCTAGAAAATTTTGTCATGGTTCTGCAGAGAAGCAAAATGAGTTTTGCAGTGATAACATATTATCTCATAGAGGGATTTTACAAGGATATACATTGAAAGTTTCTCCTTTCTTCATCACTTCTTGCATGTCCCTTTCCTTGCTAGTGTCTCTCCTCATCCGTTCATAAATCTTACTTCATTAATCACTGTCATTGCACCTTTGTTCTCTGAGAATTAAACTTGTGAACCCAGGGAAATGTGTTGGTCAGGTGAGCCTTCTTATTAGTCACCTGAAAGGGCTGTTGTGAGCATCATGAGTGTAAAACTGTTGGCCCAGTTCCTGGTGTTTTGTAAACACTCAATAAATAAAAGGTGGCAGTAGCTATAGACCCGCCCTGTTCTCTGTAGGGTTGCTTTCCATGTGGAAATGGCATCAGGATACAGACCAAACATTTTGGAGCCGCTGAATGATTAGTTTGGTTGTACTGGCTAAGACGAAAGTCACAGTCAGAAGCAGAGCTCCAGGGAGAGAAGGAAGAAAAGGTTAGAGGCAGACTCTGAGTGCTGCCCCATGTGGGTTCACACTGCACATCAGAGAGAGCATCCTATTTCTCACTGACCCACAAGCAAAAAGAGAGGGAGACTTAAATGGTGGACTTTGTCTTATTTTTTCAGGTAACCAGTGCAAACTTGGTCCAGTGGGTTAGATCCTCCTAGTCCTGTGGGGGACTAAGAAAGAAGGAGATGGAGTGAAAGCAGAAGTACTACCCATACCTCAGTGTTCTCCCTCAGCATTTTCCCTAGGGCTTCACCTCCCCAGTACTTCAGCACGCTCTCCAGTATTTCAGCATCCTCCCCAGAAATTCAGCTCTAGCCTAGCACTTCAGCCACCTCTCCAGCACTTCAGCACCCTCCAGTAATTCAGCACCCTGGGGTTACTTAAGCCTATTTCCTTGTGCACATCTCCAGTATTTCAGCACAACCACCCCCGCACGCCACCGCCCTGCCATGGTACATTCCTCTACTCCTTCAGCATCCTTTCCAGCATTTCAGCATCCTTTCCAGCATTTCAGCATCATCCCCCAGTACTTCGCAGAGTATGTGAGATTTGGGGAAAATCCCTCTTCTATTGGCCAAGGTGGTATGTGGGGAGGGGAAGAAAAGGAGTTCCCCTTAAAACAAAGAAAGTTTAATTTCAGAAAAAGAAACACCAAGTGAAGAAACACCAGGTGCACTATAGATGTTCAATAAATTCTAGCTATTATGATCCATTTCAAACTTACATTCCGGTGATTTATGTCTCTTATCTCCCCTGCTTGACTTTAAGTGCCTGACAACAAGATGCATATATGATTTTTTTTTATTGCCTATAGGGCTTAGCACAGGGAAGGAGCTAAGTAAATATTTGTGTAATATGTAATGTTTCTCTGTGTGTGTGCATAATTATAAAGAACCAGTCATTGGTTTGTGACTCCTCACTAAATATGAGCTAAAAAATGTTTAACAGAGTCCTGGCATTCTGCCTGCTGGTGGCAGGCATGAATAAATTCAGAATGATGGGCTTACAGACAAAACTTAAAATGACCAGAAATCCTGAGCCTTGATATTTATTTGCCACCAAAATTTCGTGTCAGGTTCAGGTAAGGTTTATTGAAAACTGTGTGTTAAATGTTATGTTGTTGAGGTCGTATGGTCCTTTCAGTTAGAAAATCTCTGCAAAGGAGATGTCATCACCTCGATCTTATAGATACGAAAACCCCTGAAGTTTAAAAAAGTGAAATAATTTGTCTAAGGTCATGTACCTGGCACCGAATTGAGCTGACATGACAAATCCAGGCACGTGTATTTCCTGAGAAAGACTATGAGTTTGTTAAGTGTAGGGAATTTTCTTTTTCATTTCAATAATAAAATAAATGAATACTTAAATATGATATATTAAATAATTATTTTCTATGAAAAGTAGAGTTTGTTAATTTTCCTGTAATAATTTTTATGGCTTCACTGCTTCATGGGTTAGTGTCACGAATTTGGGTGAGTATAAAACATTCATGTAATTATATTGACTGAAATGATGTGGGGCATTGACTAAGGTCTAGAAAACTTTTGGTAATATTTAAAAACTATATGACAGTGAGATGCAATATGTTTTCAACATGCCAGAAGAAAGATTAGAAGGAAAAGTGCCCCAGTTGGTCCTACTGAACTGATTTACGCTCTGGGTTTCGCCATACACATGTATCCTTGTCCAACACAGGAGACCATCTTCTTTGATCAGTTCCTGATTCAGTTTCTCCTCTGCGCACTCTGCCATGTTTTGTACCTCCGTCATAACCATTCACTGCATCCTGACTTACTGTATTCAAGCAAAATAGGATGCTTCCTAGACAATTACAGTTTTCTTAGGGAACATAAAGGCAATAAACATGAAATAGGGGCAAAACATGTAGCCAAGATGAAATGCAAAATTGTGGAAAGCAAATGTAAGGGATCCTGCAGTGCTGTGTGCTGAGAATCAAGGGTACAGGCTTTGATGCCAGACAGGCCCAGGCATAACCTTACCTTGCTCTACTTAGATGACCCGGAGAATTTGCTGAGGTGCTGGTTTTTTTTTTTTTCATTTGCATGATGGGTAAAATTATATATAATGAGCAAAGTGCTTGTTATGATAATATGAGCTCTTTACTTAAAAGTATCAAGCTCAGAGTTTGGTGCAAGGTAGGCACTAAAAAAGTACCATAGTTCCTCACTGTTCTCTTTTCTTCTGCCCCCATTTTGAGGGAAAAAAGTCAATAGTCAAAAAGATTTCTTGAGTGGGAAATTTCAAGGAGGATGTTGGAATAGGTAGGGGACATTTAAGCTTAAGTTGTAAGAAGTTGGATATTTTGAGAACCTAGTGAGCTTATGAACACTAGAAATGTACTCATAGCTTCCTGTAATCTATTTTAGGAGCAATCAAAAATATTTTGAACCATGTCCTCTTCCACTTAGCTTAAGTATGCAATGGAGTATAGTGTCTGCCTTTATTAATTCTAATAACTAGTCTCACTGTCCCAAGCCTACTAAATATTTGATTATATGATCCATCTAGTTTCTGTTCCTAGAACCGTGAGAAGTGGAGTGAGAGGAGAGCATTTTGTTTATCATTTAACTCTCAGAGACAGGAATAGGTGTATCCTTGTAAGTGAGAATGAAATCCTGAAGGCAGGGAGTAGGAAATATGGTGTGATTCAGTTCCTCATCTTGAAGAATATCTCCTAAGTTGGCTCTGAAAAGCTGTAGGTGTAATTCTAGCCCCTTGATAATTAGTATTGCCCTATCAGCAGAGGGTGGACATTATGCAAAAAAAAAAAAAAAAAAAAAAAAAACTGGAGAAAATTAAATTGGATGTGGAGTGCCTCCTTTTCTTAAAAAAACAACTTTATTGAGGTGTTATTGATAGACAAAGAACTGCACATATTTCATATATACCATTTGATAAGTTTTAACCTTTGCAAAGACTCATGATACCATTGCCACAACCTAGGTCATCGATATGTCCAACACATCCCTAAGTTTCCTTGTGTTTCTTTGATTTCGTTTTTTGTTTCTGTTTTTATTTTTTGTGGTTCCAACATTTAACATGAGGTCTACCCTCTTACGAAATTTTGAAGTGCATGATAACTGTATTAAGTATGGGCACTGTGCTGTGTAGCAGATTTCTTGAACTTACTCATCTAGCATAATTGAAACTATACCTATGGAACAACTCCTCTTTCACCCACTCCCACAGCCCCTGGCAATCACTATTGCATTATCTCCTTCTGGGAGTTTGACTAGTATAGATAACTCATATAAATTACATTGCACAGTATCTGCCTCTCTGTGACTAGCTTCATTTCACTTAGCATAATGTCCTCCAGGTTCATTCATGATGTTGCAAATAGCAGCATTTTTTAAAAATTTTAAAGGATGAATAGCATTGTGTTTATATATATATATATATATATGTATGTATATAAAATACTGTGTACACACATATATACATACTACACACACAGAGACACACTCTATCTCACACACAACACACTACATTTTCTTTATTCATTCATCCATTAATGAACACATAGGTTGATTCCATATCTTCACTATTGTGAATAATGCTGCAAAAAAAAAAAGTGGGAGTGCAGATGGTCTCTTCAAAATCCTAATTTCCATTATTTTGTATATATACCCAGATGTAGGATTGTTGAATCACCTGATGGTCCTCTTTTTAATTTTTGAGGAACTTCCATATGGTTTTCCACAGCTTCTGTGCCACTTTATGTTCCCATCAGCTGTGTACAAGGATTCTGACTTCACAACATTCTCAGTAATTCTTTTTTTGTTTAATTTTGGTAATAACCAGCCTGACAAGTGTTAGATGGTATGTCATTGCAGCTTTGATTTACATTTCCCTGTTAAATAATGATGTTGAACATATTTTCAAATACCTGTTGACCATTTGTATGTGTTCTTTGGAGAATTGAATTGTTGATTCAGTTCCCTTACCCACTTTTAAATAAGGTGATTATTAATAATATTAGATAAGGCTAATATTAATAATATTATTTTTGCTATGCAATTGTAGAAGTTTTTTATATATTATAGAAATTATCTTCTTCTAAAATATCTGATTTGCAAATATTTTTTCCCGCAGTATACAATGCCATTTTTTCTGTTTATTGTTTCCTTTCCTGTGCAGATGCTTTTTAGTTTGATGTAATCCCCATTCTCCATTTTTATTTTTGTTTCCTATGCCTTTCATGTCATATTCACTAAACCATTGTCAAGGCCAATGTTAAGAAGCTTTCCTCCTATGTTTTCTACTAGAAGTTTTACAGTTTCAGGTCTTACATTTAAGTCTTTAATTCATTTTGAGCTGACATTTGTGTGCAGCGTTAAGTGTAAAAATTTATTTTTCTTGAATGTGAATGTCCTTTTTTTCCTGCACCATTTGTCAAAGAGGCTATTGTTTCCAGCTGACAAAGGTGTATTCCTGGCACCTCTGTTAAAGATCAGACCACATATGGGTGGATTTATTTCTGGGTTTTCTATCCTGTTTCATTGGCCTATCTGTCTATGAAAATACCATATTGATTTAATTAGTGTAGCTTTGTAATCTATTTTGAAATCAGAAAGTGCAATGTTTCCAGCTTTGTTCTTCTTTTTCAAGATTACTTTGGATATTTTACATCTTTTGTGGTTGCATTTGAATTTTAGAATTGTTTTTACTATTTCTTTATAAAACATCATTGATATTTTGATGGTGATATTATTGAATCTGTAGATCAGTTTGGATAGAATGAACATTTTAACCATATTATATCTTCCAATCCATGAACATAAGCATTCTTTTTATTTATTTCAGTCTCTTTTCTTTTATCATTGTCTTGTAATATTCAGGTTACAAATATTTCGCTTCCTGGGTTAAGTTTATTCCTATTTGATTCTTTTTGATGCCATTATAAATGGGATTTTCTTAATTCATAGGGGTTGATCTGTTGTTAGAGTGTAAAAATACAACTAACTTTTGTATATTGATTTTGTATCCTGCAATTATACTGAATTTATTTATTAGTTCTTGCAGCTTTTTAGTAGAGTCTTTATGGTTTTTTATGCATATGTTCTTGTCATCTGCAAACAGGGACATGTTGAGGTACACTCCTTTTCTACCTGATTTATTGAGCATTTTTTGTCATAAAAGGGTGTCAAATTCTGTTAAATACTGCATCTACTGAGAGATCATGTGATTTTTTTATCATTCATTCTGTTAATCTAGTGTATCACATTTATTGATCTGCATTTGTTGAAACATGCTTGCATCTCAGAGATATTTATTAAGCTGTTGAATTGAATTTTTGAGTATTTTATTGAGTACTTTTGCACCTATGTTCCTCATATCTTGAGACTAGTGAAAACAAAGCTTAAGGAACTTATGAGATGCATAAGTTGCAGCTTTGATTTACATTTCCCTGTTAACTAATGATGTTGAACATCTTTTAATATGACTAGGATGCAGTCTCAAGGACATAGAAAAAGAAGAAACTAAGCTCAATGTTAACAGAAGGAAGTAAATAATAAAGATTAGAGCAGAAATAAATGAGATAGAGACAAGGAAAACAATAGAAAAAAATCAGTAAAACCAAGAGTTGTTTTCTGAAAAATAAAAAGGACAAAACTTTAGCTAGACTAACTGAGAAAATGAAATGGCATCTGTCTCTTGAAAGAAGCTTCAAGCTTTAGAAGAAAGAAGCAAGCAAAAGATATAGAAAGCTGCTCTTTATTCCCTTAAGTGACCATCATGGATTATGAAATGTTTGTCATTTGTCTTCCCTCAAAGTTTGCTTCCCCTCCAAAGAAGGGATGCTATTTTCAAGAAGTAAAGAACAATGGGAAGAAATAAAACAGAACAGTGTGACTATTATTATGACTATTATTAAATGAACATTAGCCAGGGGCATGTCTGTCCTTTCAAGAGATAAGTTCCTCCTCAATCCATAAAAAACACTCTTTTCCTTCTCGGAGCATGTTTCTTACTCTTACAAGTAAGTATTTAGTATGGTGTGTTATCTCCTCATGCTAACCTTTGGACATGACAAATTATACATTCAAATGTATGTGTGCATGTATGTATACATCTATGTTTACAAACAAATACATATTTATGTATTTAGCTTTGTGTATTTAAATACACAGATACACATACGCATATATGAATAAATACACATATATATGTATAAATGTGTACACATACACACATTCATGTATGTGTGTATAAAATTTATGTTCAAATATCTGTGTGCATTCCTTTGTATACTTGACACATACCAGTATAGAACTGTCATTGTATTATTTTGCCAAAGAAAGACATATATAAAATAAAACAAAATGAAAACAACTGTAATCTAATTTCAATGTTAATCCATAGATACAAAGATTATTTTTAATCTCAGAAGAGAAACATATACTTTCAAAATCAAACATACATGCAAACACTCTAGTACTATATTTAGATTTCTGAGATGATCCGCACTATGCTTATCTTTGTGTTGCCCATTTGCCTAAAGTCTGATACAAATGTCACCACAAATTGGCCATGTTCAAGGAGCCTCAGCTCTGTGGAAGGAAACTTGAGCAGCCTCTACCTCCGCAAGTTTAATAGCTTCTTCCTCTTTCAGGTGCTTCCCATTTCTACAGCCGGTTTACTGCGGTCTCCTCATGAACATGTTGTCATCACGCCCAGTGTAACTGCTCCCTCCCTGCAGGAGTTTACTCTGCTACATGGATAAGCTAACAAAGGCTCATCTGGAACTACAGGGTTACATCTCTAGTGTCATTGTATGACACAGGTATCCTTTTCTCACTCAATGGGAATTCTTTGAGTACAAGGACTTTGAGTTTCTATCTTTGTATTCTGCACTGTGCTTAACATAAAATTTAGAACAGAGTGGGTATTTCATTGGCATGTTAATAAATGAGTGAGTAGAAGAGGTAAACCTAAAAAGCACACGCTAAGCTAGTTTTACTTAGTTAAGCCTTTAATAATTTATCCATATCTAATTTATCATTTTCTTGTCAAATGTGGTCATGTTTTGTTTTAATTAACCTTTTTAGCTTAATTATGAACAAACTTGAAAGTAATTTAATGAACTTCGTTAGTATCTACCACTCAATTTGCTAATGCTGATGTCTCTGGTTTTTCTAATATATGATATTTACAGTCAGAAGCAATACTTAGTCCACAGGAATTAGTTTCTCATGAAAACACCTGCGATAGAAAGGAAGGTTGATCAAAATAAACACAAACTTAGAATTTGTATTGAGGCTTAAACTAAATGTGAACTTCTCAATGTCCTTTCCCTACGGTTTATAGTTGCTCAGATTTTGACTTAGGCAAATATATTTGTTTCAAATGATCAAATTTCAGTTAAATTGACTTAGTGAAATTTCCAGGCTGTTTTGGTTAGAGAGGAGGTAGTGCAACTTTACTTGGGATTTATTTTTCATAATATAAGAGCATATTGGTTGGTATTCATTAGCATTAATGAGTCAACAGAGATGAGTGAAAGAAATTGGCTGATTCTGAAGGCTTTAGGAGAGGAGCTCCTTGGGAACAAGGCACCCGTCTCAGAAGTAATGAATGATGAATGGATTCACAGATACTGGTTTTCTGTCTACTTCCTGTTCTCCCTTTAAAATAAATTTAAAAATATATAGACAGACAGGCAGACATAAAGAACTACTCGAACAAGTTAGGAACTTTACAGTGTTTGTTATTAAAGCCCGTATGGTCTTGTGTGTGTAGAACTGAGCAATAAGGGAATCCCAGCTAGCAATGGGATTAGAGCATTTGGATGGGCATCTATTTCTAAGGAACATTCAGGGCTAAAAATCTGTAAAAGTCAGTGAAAGCATGTACATTTGATACCACTTTCTTTTCTTTAAATTGAAAAACTGGTGTTGTGTTAAGTCCTCAGAGCTTAACTCTGTGCTCCTTGGATGGTTTGCTTTTACGCAAATGGGGTGAATCTCCTTCCAAGGAGCTAGCACCAAGGCACAATGTCCTGGAATGGGGTGGAGAAATGCACAGCTGTTTTCCTTTGTAGCTGGAAACTAGCATGGAAGCAGGGAAATAATTCAAGGCAGGACAAAGGGAGAAGGAAAGCCTTAGGTTTCTGCAGGTCTGTGGAAGGTAGGAAACAGGAGACAAAGACAAATCATAAAGATCAGAGTGTAAGAAGAAATGACTTATGCAGTCAGCAAGGAAGGTCCTTTTTACTGGAGATAGTGGCTTGAATAGGGAGCTACTTAGCCTTATAAAAAGGCCAACTCCTATCCCTGGTCATCATTTGCCGTAATGTGCCCTTAGCAAATATTTGCTGAATTGAATTGAACCTCAAGAGTCACTGAGAAAAACGATAGCTCAATTTGCAAACTAGATATATTATACTCATAGCATTTTGGTTTCATAATTATTTTTCCTATTGAAAGACAGAGGAAAATGAGACCAAGTTCATTTTGCTTAAAGTCTCACAGTGAACCAGTCTCTCAGTCATGCTCAGAATCTGCTTTTTGCTTACTCTAAAACCTGCGCCTGCTTCCCTGTGCCGTGTCTCCTTCATAGATTAGGAAGGAAGGAAGCATGAGTCTAAGACTACATAAAATGAATGGAAATGAAAGGGAAAGGAAAGCAGGAAAAGATTAAGAAAATTATATTGTCCATTAGCAGAGAAGAGTGACTTTAGCAACAAGGTAGAGGACTTAAACTGTTCTCAACACATGATAAATTCTGAAACCCCGACTTGATCATTGCACATTCTATGCATGTAAAAAAATCTCACATACCCTATAAATATGTAAAATATTATGTATCAATTAAAAATAAGATTCAAGTTAAGGAAACCTAAATGTGTTGGGGGTGAGTCGGGGCTGAACAGAGCTTTCCATTCCAGTTTCTGGGAAATGGTAGCTTGGCCATGAGTCTTCAAATTCTGTAATTTGAATGTAGAAGGGAAAATGGAAAGTAGTCTCATTATCTGGAGAAGATACTCTACTCTCCCTGGACTGAATTTAAGTTATCTAACCTCAAGGTACTCAAAAGGGCTGTGGGAGTCTACCCCATAGTTAGCAAACAGTAGATACAAAAGTGAGGATCTGTAATTTGGGGTCAAACAGATTTGAGCTCAAGTCTCGGCTCTAATCCTTATTACTGAAAGGAAACAAAACACATTTAAACATCCCCTGAGACTCAGTTGGAAAATAAATAAAATAAGAGTAATTTCTTTCTCAAAGAGTTACTGTAATGATTCAACTAGCTAATGCATATTAGTTGACCTAGTATAATATCTGGTGCATTGCAAGCTCTCAATATATTAATTTCCCTACTCTTTTTTTTTTAAACAAAATGATGTGATTCCAACTTCAGTGCACTTCACACTACACTCTCAGCCCTTTCAAAGTTTCTAAGGTAGAACTCATAAGCCAAATATTTGATTGATAGGAAAATAAGAGAGATCATCTAGATCCAGATCTTGACAAAGTTGGTAAGTGAGCAAAGATCGATTTCAGTATAACAGAATGCCTTCCATTAATTTTTTTTTTTTTTTGAGACAGGGTCTCACTCTGTTACCCAGGCTGGCATGCTGTGGCATGGTTACGGCTCACTGTAGCCTTGATCTCCTGGGCTCAAGGGATACTCCCACCTCAGATCCTCAAGTAGCTAAAACTACAGGCATGTGTCACCACACCTGGCTATTTTTTATTTTTTTGTAGAAACGGGGGCTCACTATGTTCTCCAGGCTGGAATGAAGTGGCCTGATCTTGGCTCACTAAAGTCTCCACCTTCTGGGCTCAAGGGATCCTCCCACCTCAATCTCCCAAAGTGCTGGGATTACATGCATGAGGCATTATGCCCAGTCCATGAATTAATTTTTCTATCAAAGCCACCTTCTCTAATAAACTCATTGACAAAATCATTAAGGAACTTACTTCTATCAGGCTCTGTCTAAACTTATACCCAATGGAAACTACTGGAAAGACAGGATTTACATTTACAGATTTAGGTTCTACATGCCTTAATTTTTATTGTTAGCATACACAATTATTTCTGTAATTACCATCCTTTTTATCCTATCTATCTCTGTGGAAATAAAGGCTCTGTCCACTGTTAAATATTTTTAAATATCATCAAATAAACTGGGGAACTTGTAGAATATGGGCAGAATACTTTCAAGAGTCCTGATAATTACGACATGCAGGGGTTGTTCACATGACAATACAAAATGCCAACCCCACTCTGAGCAAATGGATTTCCTTTCTGTACAGCTCTCTGTACCAGTTCTTGGCCTGAGGCTGAGAAATTCTTAGGATGATAATGAGTATAGCAATAATAGTGCTTCAGATATCCCATTCCAATGAAAGGAATACGTTTTCTATTTTAAACGAGGAAAATGACACCTCCCATACTTCTCTTACAAATTGATATTGAATAATGAATGTAATAGCATTCTATACAGCTGGATGTATTACAATGTACACATAAAGAATGTGCTGTTTCTCAGTGGTGCTATTAATCTTCCTTCTATACCACTTATAGTTCTTGGGCATCTGATTAACAATGACCTCCTTATATGTTTATTGGGGGATAGATAGAGGTTAGGTATAATTGTATATCTAGTTAGTTTTATCACTGCTTGATTAACCGGCTATATGACTTTGCATTAGGAATCTCAATAATACTGACTTAATATTGAGAAGGGTGGCAATCCTCATGGGAGCTGGTCAAAACTGGAGAGACAAGATAACTCACTTGTAAAAGCATATTGAATATACATATTATTTTTATAAAGCAACTGGAATAATGTAAGACTTCGCAAAATCTTCCTGAGAGATGGGCAAGTATAAAATATAGACAGCTAAATCATATTGAGGATGGGGATTAAAAGGGGTTGAAATATACTATATGCAATGATCTTTATAAAACACTACATTCAATAATCTTGAGACTCCATGATAGCTTTCATTTATTCACTCATTAAACAAATAATTATTGAACTTCTATTGTGTTCTCATTGTTGTGTACCCCAATAATTAATGTTCTATATTACATTTATTGGCTTAGTTTAAACCTAATTTCCCACCCTTGTCATTCTGGGGCTCTTATGAACAAGTTATTGTGTCTTTCTCTGCGGAGATGACTCATTCTCATGAAGAATGGGCTCCAGAGTGGCTCCTGAGCTGATCATGATGCACTGAGTGGCTGGATGATTGATACGTTTTATAAATAGAATGTTGGAAACAAAATATGGGAATAGGAAGAGCCAAATATTTTTAAAAAGCTGTGAAAATAACCATTCCAATGTATGCAAATTGCTTAATTAATTGACCTCATTTGTGCTTGCAGATATCCTTTGCCTTTCCCTTTGTGAATTGGTTTCTTTTCATTGCTCTCCAAAACAATATTCCAAGGCTAATTAAACCTTTTCAAGCTATAGGTTAATATTCCATTCATATGTAAACACATTTATAAACATTAATCCAATCCAAATTGCTTATTTTATAAATATTGTTTTATTCATTTTCAACTAATACATGTGTTTTCTGCATTTATTCAATGTTAGTCTTGAGTTTATGTTTGAGGTGATGATAGCTTTTTAAATAGCAACCTAGTGTTTACTTCCAAGTCAATTATGATATTGTCTTGTTCCTAATTGTTTCTTTAAAGACTTAGTGCAAAGGCTTCATTTGAAGTGTTGGTGGGGTGTGTAAAATATAATGATGATTATCAGGGAATCAGAGAACTATCTCATCTCAGAGAATTTGCTTTTTTTTTTTTTTTTTTTTTTTGAGACGGAGTCTCGCTCTGTAGTCCAGGCTGGAGTGCAAGTGTGCAGTGGCTCGGCTCACTGCAAGCTCCGCCTCTCTGGTTCATGCCATTCTCCTGCCTCAGCCTCCTGAGTAGCTGGGACTACAGGCGCCCGCCACTACGCCTGGCTAATTTTTTGTATTTTTAGTAGAGATGGGGTTTCACCGTGTTAGCCAGGGTGGTCTCGATCTGCATTTGCTTTTAAAAACACGTCAAAGGCAAGACTTGCTGCCTGTCCAGGCTAGACCTTGTGGAAGAAAGAATCATAGTGGAGTCAACACAATCTCAGATCTAGTCTTAGCTTGAAAATTCATTTGTCCATTCATTAATTAAATGGCTAATTGATGTGTTTGTATATATATATCCATCCAGCTATTCAAATATTAATTCACTAAATAAATATCTGCTAAATGTTCTTCTGCATAAAAAACTTGAAAAATGTTTGAGCCACTGCAAATTCCTGGTTTGCATCATAAATTCACTGAATGTGATATCACACACACACACACACACACACACACACACACATTTTTAATAAACTCCCAAAGTAAGTATTATGTACATCAAAATTCAATTGCTTTTGTTTTGCATATATATATATATATATACACACACACACGTATATTATGTACACACTTTGTGCTAAGCACCAGAATAGGTATTAGGCACGAGCAGTGTGATTGTGAATGAGGCAGACACTTCTTCCTTAAGACATTAATACTTAAAATTAAACACAGTGAGTACCATGATAGGGAACATATAAGGTGTTATGGGACCATAATCTGAGATCCTAAAGTAGGGGAAGAGTCAGGAAAGGCTTCTCCAAGAATTTCAGTTTTAAGTTTACATATAATGTTAACTACCATGCTCACCCTCTACAGCCAATGGGGGCTTGCATTTATAGGAGATGGAACCTAGAACCCATGGGGATTGGTTTCATAGGAACTTGGCAGAGCCACCTGAAGCCGTAGCTCCTTGATGTTGGACTTGGAGGCATCATAGCATGGTAGCAGATCAAGGCAGGAAGCTACAGCAGGCAGGAGAGGAAAATGGGGGGCATACAGTATGGGGGGCATCCTAAATGATAAGCACATGGTATGTGGTCATTGAGGTTCATGCCTGAAAGTACACATAAAGCAATTTTGGAGGGACTCCAGCAATGGGAAAGTGATGAGAAACCTTGAAGTGAGGGCAGATCCAAATAATTCTATTTAGTGGTCTATAACATAACAATAAGTGTGGGTGTGTATGTGTGTGTGTGTGAGAGAGAGAGAGAGAGAGAAACATTCCAGTGTCATAATCATCCAAGCATTTCATGCAATGTTGTGCTGAATGCAAAACGAGTTGAATAATTCAGGGTTCTATAAAACAGAAAATTCTCATTGTAATTTCTGGTTTGTGATTGAAAGTGCCATGTTAGAGGTGTGACTTGCATTAATAGATGGATGATGGGGGCAGATTAGTGTCCCTGGATTCTTATGGACTTGGCCATGAGATACCTAGGACCCTACCCAGGCTTGTGAGGCAGTGAGAGATCAAATAAAACAAGAGGGGTATTTAAGATTCACTTTCAAGGAAGGTCTGTCCTCACAGGGACATTCTGTGATTCAGATACAATGATTCTGGCTGGATCTGCAACACTTACTGCTGATATTTTTGTTGAGGAAGTGTGGGCAGAAGGTCCATGGAAAGAAAATTATGGTGAGTTTGGTTGGGGGCAGGAGGAGCATCAATTTCTTATATAGTCTTTAAAGGTACATAAATGTTCTAACCTTTCTCAATAACACACTGTGTAAACTACTATAGGTTTGTATTAATAGTAGGTGTTGAAATTGGGTAATGTGAGTCCTCCAAATATTTTCTCTTTCAAAATTATTTCGGTTCTATTTGTTTCCATGCTATTCATATAAATTTTAGAATCAGTTTAAGTATGAGATTATAATTGGGATCACATTAATTCTATAGAGGAATTTGAAGAAAATTAACAGAATGACATTTAATCTTACCATCCATGAAACAATATCTCTCCTCATTATTCAGATCATCTTTAGTTTATTTCTTTAGTGATTTGTAGTTCTTAGGATAAGATTCTACATATTTTTTGTCAGGTATACATCTAGATATTTTCTTTTTGGATGCTATCATGAATGGTGATTCAAACAATTTTTAATTTCCAGGTATTTATTGCTAGTATATGGAAATACAATTGATATTTTATATTGTATGTAAAGTTTATACCTTTTAAACTGTGACCTTGTAAACTTATTCATTAATTCAAGAAGCCATTTGGTAGATTCCTTGGGATTTTTCTACATAGACGATTATGACTTCCATAAACAAAGACAATTTGATTTCTGCCCCTTCCCCACAATTTGTATGCTTTTCATTTTTTGTAATCTTACTGTACTAGGTAGATTACATAGTGTGATATTAAATAGCACATCCCTTATTCTCGTGTATAGGAGAAGAAAATTATGCAGTATTTCACCGTTAGGTATGATATTAGTTGTAGAATGATATTAGTTGTAAAGCTCATTTGGTTGTGCTGGATTATTCACTTTATATATTGTTGAACTCAACTTACTAATATTTTGTTGAGAATTTTGCATGAATGCTCATGAAATGTTTTGGTCTGTATTTTTCTTTTCTTGTAATCTTTTCATGCAGGTTCAGTATCACTATGTAGCTGCCCTCCTAGAATGAGTTGGAATGTATTCCCTCCTATTGTCTTTTCTGGAACAAATTGTCTGTAATAGATTCTATTTCTTTTCTGATGTTTGGTTGAATTTACCAGTAAAATTATCTGGACCTGAAGTTTTGTGTTGTTGTTGTTGTTGTTAGAAAGTTTTAAACTATTAATTTAAATTCTATAAGAAATATATGACTATTTGGATTGTCTGTTTCTTCTTGAGTGAGTTTGGTAGTTAATATCTTTCATATTAATATTTGATGATGGGCATAGCATTGTTTACAGCATTCTCATATTAAAATTTATCAAGTTTATCAATCTTATCAAAGAACAATCTCTTTATTTTTTCTCTTGATAAACTGTTTCCCATTTTTATTTATTTTTAAATCTTTATTATTTTCTGTTTTGCGAGTTTTTTATTTAGTTTCCTCTATCAGGCTTCTTAAGGTAAAAATGTAGATTTTTGATTTAAGATGTTTGTCTTTTTCTATAAGTTTCTCTAAATGTTGGTTTAGCTGCCTTCCACAAATTTAATCAATTAATTACTTAATGTTTTTATTTTTGGCATTGGTTTTTTGAAAGACTTTTAAAATAAGCCTTATGCTTCATTTTAAAGGCTATTTTGTAATGATTATCACACATTTTGATATGTTTCATTTCATTCAGTTTCAAATAATGTATACTTTATTTGAAACTTATTTATTGAATCATAACATATTTTAATAGTATGATGTTTAATTTCCAAATATCTAGGGGTTTTCCAGCTATCTTTATTTTATTAATCTCTAGTTTCTTCCCTTATGGTCAGAGAGTATGCTTTATAAATTACATCACTTCATTTTATTTAACAAAATTAACGTACGTTTTGTGACTCATTATATATGGTCTATGTTCGTGATACTCCATGTGAACTTCAAAGAATGCATATTCTGCTGTTGTTGGATAGAGTGTTCTATAAATATTGATGAGGTCAATTGGTAATGTAACTTTGGGCTTCTATAGTTTTATCAATTTTCCATTTATTTGTTCTATCAAATATACATACATGTATATGTATGTATGACTAGATAGCTATTTCAGCCCTGAATTCACCATTAAGTAAAATAAGCATTTGTTTAAGACATTAAGGGAGGCAAACCATACAATTTTATTTCCCCTGGTTATAATGCTGTTAACTCTTTCATTGCCACAGTCAACTTTAGTCTTTTTTTTTTTTTTTTTTTTTTTTGGCAAAGGTCTTTATCTGCCTTATTCAACTTTAAATTGCACGGTTAAACACATTTTTTTTTTTTTGGACATGGTGAGAGCTTAAAGTTTACAACTTTCGTTTGAAAGTGGCATGTTGTATCACATTTGTTTCTCATTTATCTCAGGAGAGTTTCACTTCCATTGAATGTAAACATAGTCACCTGGGCCAGTCTATAAATAAATTATCAGCTGATTTGTGTAACAAACACCAAAGTCCTTTATGTTATTCAATGGAATGTCCAACGTCCATCATTGTTGTTCTATGTTAGGGCATCAGTTGGTCCTAATTTGTCCCTGATAAGTCTCAAACTATTTTTGTATATTTGTCCATTTCTCCATTTAGTACTATCGGTCTTTGCTCCATGCAGTTTGAAACTCTGAGGTTAGATTCCAGCACCTTTAGTATTGTTATGTCTTCTTGGTGTTATGGGTTGAATTGTTTCCCTCCAAGTTCATACTCACATTCATAAGGACTATTTGAAGATAGGATTGTTGTAGGTGTAGTTAGTTAAGATGAGGCCATACAAAGGTAGGGTGAACTTCCATTCCAATATGACTAAAGTCCTTACAAAAAGGAGAAGTTAGTACACAGGTATGCATGCAAGTAGAATACTATGTGAAGATGATGACAGAGGTTAGGGTGATGCTTCTTACAAGCCAGATTCTTATGGACTTGGCCATGAGATACCTAGGACCCTATCCAGACTTGTGAGGAGGTGAGAGATCAAGTAAGATGAGACAGCCATTTAAGATTCACTTTCAAGGAAGGCCTGTCCTTATATAGGACATCCTGTGATTCAGGTCTTCTGATTCCGGCTGGATCTGCAGCAGATCTTGATCTGGATCCAGGTCCTTCTACAAGCTGAGGGTTGTGAAAGACTTCCAGCAAAGCATCAGAAGTTAGGCAAAAGGAAGGACCAGATTCTTTCACGGCACTGAGAGGGAAGCAACTCTACTGACAACTTGATTTTAAACTTCTAGCCTCTAGAATTGTGAGACAATAAATTTCCACTGTTTAAGCCCCTCAGTTTGCAGTACTTTGCTATGGCACCTTTAGCAAACTAACACAGTTGGTGAATTGACCATTTAGTTATTAATAATATCTTTCTTGATCCATAGTAGGTTCCTTGTTCTGAAGTCTACTTTATCTGATATCGACATGTCTACTCCAGTTTTTTTTTTTTACTTTAAAATTGACATTTAGATGGTATACTTTTTCCCATCCTTTTACTTGTAATTTATCTGCACTATTATATTTAAAGGGGACATTGTGTAGACAGAAAATAGTTGTCTTTTTTCTCACTAATTTAATTTGGCAATCTCTGCCCTTTAATTGATGTTTTGGCTACTTGATACACATTTAATGCAATTATTGATATGGCTGAATTTAAGCATATCACTTAATTTTTAAATTTTATATCTGTCCACTTTGGTTTTTGTCCTTCAGTTTTTTTTTCCTTTATTTCCCTCTTTTGGCTTAGCTGAATGTGTTTTAGCATTTAATCTTAATATCCATTGCCTCTTGCACCATATTTCTCACACTCACTCCCCTTTTTAGTGTTATTTTAGGGATTACAACATGCATACCTCTCATTGCATAGTCTATTTAGAATTACTATTTCAAGTTGGTATTTTTTATCTTCCCTTTTAGATTATATTATTATTGTTATTATATCTATACAAGTAAAAGGAGACTAAAAACGATTAGGCGTTTATTTCATATCAGAGGCAACCTCTCAACCAGATGTGATCAGCTGCTATTGTGGTTCTTGCATCAGCCTCTGGCATTGCCTTTGTTCTGCCCATTGCCAAGCCATTACCATTACCACTACTCAGGATTATTTCATTACCAAGTGGCAACGTTGCCTTCAGAAAAGTCACGTGCATTGTTAGAGAAGTCATGAACAAATGAAGTTTCTAGGTCAAAACAGGGCCTCAGAAGTCTCATCCCTTTTTGAGAGTGGCCTACAATGAATTTACCTTGGATTCAGGATGTCAACCATTTTGCCTGGTACCCCTATCAAAGTTGTATCCCCAATATGGTAATGCAACCTAAGCCAGGAGTATAGAAGAGAGTGCCTTATTCATAGGCCAGAACATCAGGTATCAAGCGAGTAACAAGGGGCTCAACTCTTGTTCATAGGAGACAATTTGTGCTGGGGATCAGTTAATGAGACTCTTGAGTGTCTGTCATACTTACAGACACCTTCCTAGCCCAGATCTCCTTGGGAATCACTTGAGGATATGCCTTGTGTTCTGTGACTCTTGTCCTGGCCACCTCTTACTAAACTATGAATCTGAATGCACATACAAGCTTTACATAAAAGGGACACTAGCATTCCATGCAGTGGCCTCCTGTAGGAACTCTGTTTAGCAGAGATGCCCCAGTCAGACTTTATCTTGGAAAGATTTGAATACAAGACACCAAACAGATGGCAGAAAAAACAAACAAACAAAAAAAACAAAACAGGAGCAATAGAAAATCAGAGAAAAAGACAGAATCAGAGTGGGAAACCGGGCACAGACCGCAAACTTAGGAATCAGTCATCATTTTTAATCCTCACTCCTAGCAGGACAACCATGGGCAAAGTTACTTAATAACCCTGAGCATCTGTTTTCTCATGTAGAAAACTTGGATGATGAATAATACTGAATATAGGGTTGTTGTGAGGCTTAAATGAGGATGTATTTGTAATGTGATCAAAATCACAGAAGAATATCTAAGGAGCCATTGCTTTCATCCTTTCCCAGTGCATTGTACACATAACTCAGTGTCATGGCACCTTCCCAGTACTATTTCTCACCCATCTCCTCCACCTGTATGATCATCTCTCTGGCTTTAAGGCCACACTTGAATGGTGCCTCTCCCTGTGATTCCTGAGCATTCCTAGCCCCAACACCAAATTTATGTTCCCAGAATACTTTTCACGTGTTGCTCGTCTATTAAATCTTTCTCCTGATTTTCATACTGTGAGTTCCTCAAGGGCAGAGATGGGGTTCTTTTCATCTTTGTATCTCTGCAAAAGTGCCAGGCAGCAGAAAGAAAACTCAATGCTTTCTGTATTATTGATAACATATATTAAATATTACAAGAAATTATTATCTTACCAAGGGCACAATGAGTATTTCTGCTAATGCACATAAAGCAGGCATGGTTTTCAAACATGGAGAATGGTTTCTTTCATCTATTCTATTCTACTCCCTTAACCCTACCTGGATCTTTTTTCTTTTTTAATGCCATATTTGACCTTGAAATTTGTACAATTTTATGTATGTTTTATATATGTTGTAAGAAATCACTGAACTATGTTTGCTTTTGGGTTCTTATTCCCTCATTAAGTGGTTCAATTATTGTCTATTTTGAGTTCTGATTTATAACTGTTTCCATAGATACCTGATCATAATAGCTAATTATCTGAACATGTTTTCTAACGTCCTCTGAATAACATTTCAGTAATAATAAACATCCATCTTTCATTCAATTAGTCCATTTTCCATATTTCTCTCTGGAAGCATTCATAAATGCCACAGGATGCCTTGCTTCAATACGTAAAACCCAATAGGACTCAGGTAAACTTATTGTCTCTATGTAGTGGCTGTTTATGCTCACTGCTCCATCTGGAAGTCATCTTTCTCTGTTTAATGAACTCCCAGAGCAAAAGGCTCAACAACAATGCACACTTGAAAACCAGTTTTTGCTGTAAAAAGTGCTTTTGCCTATGCTAATTCACTGAAACTTCACCAAAAGCCCAGGGCTATTAGTACAACCATTGTCTTCGTTTCTCAGACAGGGGCATTGATGCTCATTCTTAGAAGCATAGTGCACTACCTTGAAATCCCTGGTGCCTGGTGCATTGTGGGTATTCAACAAATACTGAGCTGAACTGAGTGACTCACTCAAGGTTATGCAGGTAAAGAGCTTTGTAAATGGCAGAGATGGTTTACTAACTATCTTCATCCTGATCTATCACACTTTTGGTATCATTTCATCTCTCTCCAGTTGTACTGAATTAAGAGCAGTTACACCTTCTACACTGCATTATTATTTGCACACATGTTGTATGTGAGTTGCAAGAGTCAGATTGGTGCCTTTTCTAGTACATTCATTCATAGCACATTCATGAATACTCTCTAACAGGTATTGTAGGTACGAAACTGGACAGATACAATCTCTGCCCTCAAGGAATCAATTCACTCTTGTGTTCCCCACAATGTTGCAGGCAGTAATTTGTTAATGATAGCAGCTCAGTAACTGTTTCTTAAAGCAAAAGGATTTGTAGAATGTGTACCCCAAAGTGGCATTAGGTAAAAATCCATTATCTCCTGCATTTTGTCAAATATATTCTGATGACAATTAATAACCTCACTTTTCCTATTTTTTTTGAGATTGCCTTCATGTCCTCCATTATGATCACGGAAGTTCCCTCTAGTTTTGCAAACACTAAACATACACTCCAGAGACAATTGTTCAGAATTGAACTGAACATTTATAAAAGAAGAAATATTGACAAAAGCTCTCCTTACCATGCATTCTCAGGTTGAATTCTGACACTGTGACGTAGATACCAAGACAATATCCATTATTTTATTCATTTATTTATTTATTTATTTAAGATGAAATCTCGCTCTGTCGCCCAGACTACAGTGCAGTGGTGCAATCTCGGCTCACTGCAACCTCCACCTCCCCGGTTCAAGCGATTCTCCTGCCTCAGTCTCCCGAGTAGCTGGGATTACATGCGCACACCACCACACCCAGCTAATTTTTATATTTTTAGTAGAGATGGGGTTTCACCATGTTGGCCAGGCTGGTCTCAAACTCCTGACCTCGTGATCTACCCACCTTGGCCCCCCAAAGTGCTGGGATTACAGGCGTGAGCCACTGCACTCGGCCTTTAATTTTTTATGTTTATAAATGTATGGAATATAAGTGCCATTTTGTCACATGCATAGTGGATAAATTAGGGCTTTTAGGGTATCCATCACCTGAAAAATGCACATTGCACTATTAAGTAATTTTTCATCATCCACCTTCCTCACACCCTCTCACCTTTCTGAGTCTTCATTCTCCATCATGCCACTGTATATGTCAATATGTACACCTTATGGGTGAGGGCACGTGACGTTTGTCTTTTTTGTCTGGCTTGTTTCAGACAATATCCATTTTATAGGTGAGGAAACGAAAGACAAGAGAGGTTAAATAACCCGATCAAGTTTACACAGTAATTGGCAGGGCCAGACAATGAACTTCTTTGTTGATCCCAAAGCCTTTGCTCTTAAACCGCAGCCTGGATGTACCAGCTCTGTGTGCTCTGTGTCTCTTGTTCTTACAAAACCATTTCTTATTGTCTTGGAGATGTAAGCAAAATACACAAAGAGACATCCTTGCAAGGGGCAGGGGATTCCCTTCTCTGGGAACCACCTAGTCTGGAGATCACAGAGGTGATGAATGCCTTGAAACCTGGAGGATCCTAAAGGCATGCTGCTTCATGTCTCTTTTTCTTTCCATTGAAATTTCTGTTGCCAATGTTGTAACAAGCTGCCTTCATGGGGAGGTGAACTGCAGACCCAAGAGAAAAAGGTGTCTAGGCCTAAAGATGCCTTGAACGATACTCGCAAAGTTAAGAGAAGCAAGCATGGGGTCAACAGAGATTGCTCAGAGATCATGGATGTCAAATCTTCGTTTTTATAAAGTTTCTAAACCTAGTTGTTTTTTCTCAGTTGGCAGCTGGTATTTTTTTTTTTTTAAACATTCGCACCAAGCTCTAACCACTTTAATGTATGATAAAAGGAAGAACTGATAAAAAGAAGAACAGGAGTCTTCTTTTCTGGAAGGGCCACCTGACACTCCCTATGGTTTTGGGCTGGGTAAAGAGCACCTCCCCTGGGCTCCTATGATTCCCTGATTCCCCGCACATCTCTCTCTCTCAGTGCATTTGCAGTCTTACATTATTATTATGCAGTTGTGATTCTCTCCCCTTCTCCTCACCCCTACCCTATTGTGAGCACATAGTATTAGAGACATTTATTCAATTTACAAGCTGGTGTATGCATCAGATCTGGCTTACAGTCACTGCCAAACAAATGAGTGCCAAGTGAATAGATGCACTCACATGCCACCGAGGAGAGAAGAAAGTGATGAGTAACACCCTTTAGTGTGGCAAGTGTCCAAGTGCACAGAATACAAATGTGGGAAAAATAACAAGAAAAGCATGATGAGGACTAAACTTCAAAGAATAAGTCAGAAATCATAATTTTAAAGCTGTGGAGGGTTTCCTCAATGTAGATATGTATGGGAGAGAGGAGGTCATGAGAAGACCTCTCTCTCTGATCAAAGGCAGAAGGCAAGAAATTTCTAAGAGAAAAGTAATCAATTGACTTAAAAAGTCATCAGTCCTCTGTTCTGGGTCGATTAGTGACAGTGGAGCTGGTGCCGCTGGTGGCTGAGCCCGAGGTCCATTTGTTGCACCCAAGAGCACAGGCAACAAGTTCATCATCTGTCTGTCTACACATTCTGCGCCGTTTTCTGAAAATCTCAGTTTCCTTCTTCCACAGTCATGATCACTTGTGATCTTACACCCTCCAGGTGGGGGGTAAATGGACAAGTCTGGATGTGTGTGCTCAAGGCTCAACAAATATTCCTTTGATCAGTTCAAAGAAGAGTGGCCGAGAGACTCTGGTTGACTCTACCTGCAGAGGTGAGAGAAGGCTGGCTGCACAGAGGACAGGATGCCTGAGAAGGGTCTCAGAAGAGGCACTTCCTTCTTTTTTTTTTTTTTAAAGGGATCTATAGTCAAACAAGTAAGCCTATGAATTTATTTTTAGGGATAGTGGGGGTAGTAAATATTAAATGGAAGCAGTGTGCATCTAACCTCACGGTCTGGGCAGGAAAGAGTCTCCAGGAATGTGAAGATTGCTGTAATAGTAACTCATATTAACCAGGACAACCACAGACAACAATTGAATTTCTGGCACCTGTTGGAAAAATATGAGGGTAACAGGAAAATAAAACTCACAAAAGTTGTGGGGACCTGTAATCCCCTGTTTAGCTGGAGGTGTCGAATACAGATCCTTGTCCTGCTCTTCCTCCTCTTGCTTTTTTTTTGCTGGGAGAAAGGAGTGAGATGGTTACTGAATTCTGGCCAGCTGTATGCATGAATATTAATGGTTGTTTTATATATATATTATGTATTTTATATATTTTACTTATTTAAATATATAGTATTATATACATATATATACATACACACAGATATAAAATTACTATTATTATTAACAGAGGCAGTATTGTCCATATCTTAGGGAAAGGTTTTTGGTCCTAGAGTCAAACATAACTTTTGTTAAAATATTTTCGGTCTTTACAGTTTCACTTGAACTTTTCAGTCTTCAGTTTTCTCACTTCAAGATGAAGGATAATATAATACCTACCCCTGAGTTATTAGGAAAGATATTTAGACAATAGATGTAAAGCACTTAGACTTAACATAGAATTATATTAAGAAATTCTTATTAGTATTATTAACAATACAAGTATCAGTAGCTAACATTTTGTTTATACTATACGTACCAGGAGGAGGGCTTATTTCTAATAATCACACAGCTACAACATAAACATTTTTAGATCCTTTTATGAATGGAGAAATTGAGAGTTGAAGGATTGGGTAATGTGAACAAGAGGAGTTGGAAGCAGTATGTCCATCTCAGCTAGAAGACAGTTGGCCACACTGCAAACACCTTCCAGGGCAGAATCCATCAGATGCCCCATGAGTGGTATGCAACGTAACCCTCCCTGCTCCTTTCAAAATACATCTCAAAACTCTCAAAATACATGTGCCCTAGCATTATGGAAAAAATCTCAGTAGCTGAGTACTGTCTTATATATCTGTCCCCAAGACCAGGCTGTCTCTCTGCTCAGACATCAGAGAGCCCTCTTGTTGGTGGGCTGCCTTTCCAGGACTCCCCTTGCTTTGCCTATACCTGTGTGAGTAGTAAATATCAGAAGTACTTGTGCTCACTTGAGTGGAGTATTCTGAAATAAAGGGGAGGGCTCAGTCTAGCTATATCAAGTAACTTGCCAAACAGCAACCCTACCATGTGTGCTAAGGATGGCACCAATAACCACGTCCTGCTATCACACCCTTGAGTGAGGCTGCATTTTTTTTTTATTAAAGTAATGTACCTCTCACATAAAACGATGCAAATAAATCTGAGCGGGATTGGGGACGGTTTCCTGAGCCATGCCAGCCCTGCACCTCCTTTTGGCTGCTGCTTGGACCCCTGAGGAGCCCTGGAGCCCCGGCGCCCCATGGCCCTGGAAACACAGTTTGGAAACCATCACACTGGCTTCTTCATTTTCCTCTGACATTCTGTGTGGCCTTGTGGATTTAAATGGAAAATAAGCACTGTTCAAAATCCAAAACTTATTTAAATTCAGCTATGCATGGCCTGAATTATTTGCAATAAACTGCTTTTTTTTCCTGAAAATTTTATTGTTTAGTTGATTGCATTTGAAAAAATATAAAATAGCACAAGGAAGTCACATGTTAAAAAAACCTAATGTACCTACACCAAAAATTGGCCAGAGAAGAAACACAATGCATAAAAAGTTCCTCACAATTGGAATTTGCAAATGTTAACACAATCATCTAGTTCTCCATGTTGAGGTATTCACTGAAGGTGCCACTGCATCCATTAATGGAGGGTTAGAAATGCAGGTGGCATCCTAGAAAGGTCTCAGGCTTTAGAATAAGTTGTTACTTTGATTCTTTGCTCTGACGCCAATTAGCTGTGTGATTTGCAGAAGGTTACATTTGTTTGTTGTTTTACATGACCAAGGCTCAGTTTTCTCATATGCAAATTAAGAATGCAATTTAGCATAGAGTATACAATATATCCATTTAACATCCTTCCTTTTACAACCCTCTTGCCATCTCCATTTGGTCCTTATTGGACTGTCAAACATGGCACTGTTTCCCTACCATCTTTAAACACCATCCTTGCCACTACTATAGGTTGGGCATTTTACTTCATCACTTTGATCATGAGAAAGTGTTAAGGGAAAGTCACTTGCTTTTAAGCAGGGCCAATGAGTACCCTTCCTGAGATTGTTCTATGGTCACTGGGAAAGAGAAATTTCTTTAATTTTGGATCATGAATTACAAAAATCTTGGGACTCCAGGCATGATGTTTCGTTTTCTGGAAGTAGCTTGCCTAATGAAAAAATCAACCCAAAAGGATGTAGAGCAGGCAGATTGAAAGGAAAAGCCAAGGCAAAAGCTAGAGTCAAAACCTCGTTTGAGCTTCTGAATGCAGCCATGCCTGGTTCTGGTCCCAACCTTGAACTTCCCAGATAGGGGAACCAAAATTGTCTCTTTCCTGAGTTACAGTTGGGATTCTGTCATTTGCAGCGCCTAAAGTCTTTATAAAAACACCTAACCTTCAGGGTTGTTTTAAAAATTAGAGGTATACCATAAGAACTCAAGGCAGATAGTAATCATTCAAAAAATGATAACTCCGTTTATTATTTCTTTAGATAAATACAAAGGTACCTTGGCCAATTTACCTTAGACTATCCTTGATGTTTTTTCTTCTCTATTTGTTGACAATATTAATCCCAAGGCCTAGAAAAATGAAACTATTTTAGCCGATTACTCATATATTGAGATTATTTTTAATTTTTACATTTAAATAAATTTGATAGAACCTGTAAATAGTGTGCTATTCAAATTGCTACTTATATGTCATTATACTAATGAAAATCATTTTTATCAAATGAAAGCAGGAAGGTTGTGAAATTAGTAATAGCTTTAATTTGTAATGCTTCTATTTGTAATACTTTTAAATCTCTTGAATAAGGAAAGAAATTATATTTATTAAGTGCATATTATGTCTCAGGAAATTTACTAAGTATTTATAAATGTTTGATTTCATTTGAATCTAATGTCAAATATCTAAAGTAGAGCTTTTTGTTGTTACTACACAGGTGAGGGAACTGAGGTTGACAAATTTTAAATACCTAAGTTAACAGAAATAAGGAGAGATGGAGTTGATACTTAAAGTTAATTCTGTCTACCATCAAACCCTTTTTTCTTTCTAGTGTGCCATACTCTTCATCTAAATAATAAAAAAGAAAACATTTACTGGGAAATTAAGAAACAATAATCTTTTTTTAAATTCTACTTTAAGTTTTAGGGTACATGTGCACAATGTGCAGGTTAGTTACATATGTATACATGTGCCATGTTGGTGTGCTGCACCCATTAACTCGTCATTTAACATTAGGTGTATCTCCTAATGCTATCCCTCCCCCCTCCCACCACCCCACAACAGGCCCCAGTGTGTCATGTTCCCCTTCCTGTGTCCATGTGTTCTCATTGTTCAATTCCCACCTATGAGTGAGAACATGCGGTGTTTGGTTTTTTGTCCTTGCGATAGTTTGCTGAGAATGATGAAGAAACAATAATTTTTTGCTTCTTAAATTCACAAAAGCCAGCGTCTATGTGAATGTCCAAGACAAATTTACTGTGGGATGCTTGCATTTAGCTGAGCTTCTTCCCTCCTTGGAGTGTCTGAACCAGCTGTTTTCTCAGTCTAAAATGCTTTTCCTACAGGCCTTCTCAGAAAGCAGGACTGACTCCTGCTTACATTCTTAGCCAAAATGCTCCCTGCTCAGAGAGGCCTTTCCTAAGCATGCTCTTAAAATTATCGCCCACCACCCTCTGTTTCTGATATGGTTTGGATCTGTGTCCCCACCCAAATGTTATGTTCAGTTGTAATTCTCAATGTTGGAGGTGGAGCCTGGTGGGAGGTGATTGAATCATGGGAGTGGTTTCTCATGAATGGTTTAACACCAACTCCCTTGGCACTGTCTTTGTGATGATGCCTGAGTTCTCATGAAATCTGGTTGTTTGAAAGTTTGTAGCACCAGCCAGGCGCAATGGCTCATGCCTGTAATCCCAGCACTTTGGGAGGCTGAGGTGGGCCGATCATGAGGTCAGGAGATCGAGACCACCCTGGCCAACATGGTGAAACCCCTTATCTACTAAAAATACAAAAATTAGCTAGGTGTGGTGGCACGTGCCTGTTATCCCAGCTACTCGGGGGGCTGAGGCAAGAGAATCACTTGAACCAGGGAGTCGGAGGTTGCAGAGAGCCGAGATCGCACCACTGCACTCCAGCCTGATGACAGAGCGAGACTCCTTCTTAAAAAAAAAAAAAAAAGTGTGTAGCGCCTCCCTGCTCTCTCTCTTACTCCTTTTCCCACCATGTAAGATGCCTGTTCCCCCTTCACCTTTCACCATGATTCTAAATTCCCTGAGGCCTCCCCCTAAGCAGAGGACACTATACTTCCTCTATAGCCTGCAGAACTGTGAGCCAATTAAACCTCTTTTCTTTATCAATTACCCAGTCTTAGGTATTTCTTTACAGCAGTGCGAGAACTGACTAATAAAATCTCTTTATCATTTTTTTTCATATAACTTAACACTAACTGAACTTTTAAATTATTTCATATTCATCTACACTGTACTAAAATATTATCTTCATGAAAAAGAAAGTACCTTTGCTCCATTCCAAACCTCCAATTCCTTAAACAGTTTTCGCTATGTAGGAGGAACGAAGTAAATATCTGTTGCATGTTAACCTAAGACTATAATTTGTTCACTTCTTTCTTCCCATGGCCCAAATTAATATTATCTCCAGGCTTAAAAAAAGTAATAAGAGGGGTCATGACTAAAAAGAAAAAGAAAAACCAAAGGCCCCAGCCAGCTTTGCTCCTCCTGTCTTTGTGACCTTGGCTAAATCACATCCTCTCCTTTGTACATTAAAAGGGGCAGATTAATCCCTGTCCTGTGTTCTTTCCTGGCATTTCTGAAGATTAAATGTGATAATGGTTGGAAAAGGGCTTTGGGAACTGTAAATTGATGTACAAATGTAAGAGATTAAGGGATTAGTTTCAATCCAGTAAAGATTTTCTCTTTTATGGAATAACCCTCTAAATATCAGTCCGTGTAAGCTGCCGGCATGCATCCACAACACACACCCCAACGCGTGCCTTAATGATCTTTCTTTTTTCCAATGTGGTTCTTTCAAACTTTCCCCTACACTACCGTTTCTCAACACACCAAGACCTTTATTCAATATGACATTAAGGAAATTGTATTATGTTAAAGGTTTCTCACGCCTAAGGACAAGTTAGGCTGGGTGCGGTGGCTCACGCCTGCAATCCCAGCACTTTGGGAGGCCAAGACAGGCGGATCACGAGGTCAGGAGATCGAGACCATTCTGGCTAACACGGTGAAACATCGTCTCTACTACAAATACAAAAAATCAGCCAGGCGTGGTGGCGGGCGCCTGCAGTCCCAGCTTCGCGGGAGGCTGAGGCAGGAGAATGGCGTGAACCCGGGGGGCGGAGCTTGCAGTGAGCCCAGATCGCCCCACTGCACTCCAGCCTGGGCGTCAGAGCGAGACTCCGCCTCAAAAAAAAAAAAAAAAAAGTGTGTGTGTGTCTATGCGTCTATGTATGTGTATTTTTGTTTATTTATTGGTTATTTGGCTTGTTCAGTGAAGAAAAAACCCCAAAACAAAAATTCTAAGATAAACAATAAATGTTGCTGTTTTATTATTCTTTGTTGAGGTTGTTTATAATCACAAGGCTGATAAAATATTGTTCCCATCCTATGCTATTTTGTCATGTTCCTCATCTGTTTTAAGTAATTATCTGATTCTTCTTAAAATTTTATTTTAACAATTTCCCCTGAAGCATCTTGCAAATTATCTCTCTTGAAAGAGTATTATTTTTCTGACCCTTTCATTTTAGAATTGCAGAATGTGAGATTTTCCACTGATGAGCTGTTTGACTTCAGACTAGTCAAATAAACTGGTCTAAAACAAACTGATGTTAGAAAATGGGAGACTTGGGCAAAGAAGAGGAATATCATGCAATGCCCAGATGTATTTTCAGGTACTCTGAAATGACTCTTAAAACATCATTCACTTTGTAATTGTTCATTTGCAGGTTTATCTCCCTTTCCATGAGTGAGTTCCTTGAGGGCAGGGACTGGTTATTCATCCCAACACTCAGCTCCTGGCTACCATATAAGAACTCTTATTTATTGAATGACTGAAAAAGATATATGTACCTGTATACATACACACATATATTTTGTCCCTTTTCTCACATTTTCAGTGCACATTTTCTTCCATATTATCCATGAAAATGTACTTCTACAATAAATAATTTGATCGATATCTTTCCATATAAACACATACTCAGTATATAATTTAGAAATTATCCCTATTTACTCATTTACATATCTTTGAATTTTTTGTAAGAAAATATGCATTAGCTGCAAAAAAAAAAATAAGGACAATGCAATTTCATTCTCATAAGTTTTCAATTTAACTCCCATGGAGTAGGCATGGGCTGATTGAAAAGCAGATCCAAGAAAAAATTCATTTTGTGATTCTCTATTACTTTATATTCTATCTGCCACAGTTGGGCTGGACAAGATGGGAAGGCTGGAAGGTAGAAGATGAGGTGGGAGGAGGGAAAATATTTGAAGGCAGCAGATAGGAAATCAACAAAATGAAAAGGTGTATTAGTTATGGGAAGAGCATCCCAGGCAGTAGTCCGCCAGGAAAATGATTTTTTCCATTGAAAACTCAGGGAGGGAAATTAAACTCCTCCCACTACAGCTGCATAGCATTTCACAGAGGTCATTGCGATGCTTTGGCTTTCAAGCTGAGTCACAGTTGTTGAATTTCTGTCATTTTTATAGATTTACAAAATAGCTATTAGGGACAAAATAATTAAAGACCTAGGTAGACTGTTTCTAAATTCTGGGGAGGTAAGGCACAATACCTTCATTTTTTAAAAGTTAAAGTTTGGGAAAATGCATCTCAAAAACTAGCACTTTATTTAATGCTAAGTTCGACTACTGTGCAACATAAATAAATGTATTAGTATTGGAATTATACAGATTCTGCCTCCATCACTCTAAGGGTACAGCCACCGTTACGGTGAGGAGAAATTGGTAAATAGTGTCAGGTCTATTTTTAGGTTATTCTTATATATGGTTCTATGTTATGTGGAAGTTGCTTAATATGCATTTGTTCAATGTATCAGTAAATCAAAAGTTTGCTGATATATGTTAAGCAGAATATAATTCATCCTGTAGACTGGGTTCGATTTTTATTTTTAACTTTTCTTTTAAATTTTTCACTTAAAAAGCAACAGAATGGAAGTGAGCCAGTGCTGCTGACATTTATAATGCTGTTCTTTAGATTTTACAGAAGACTTGAGGAAGCCATTCTGATGGGTGTGCTGTTGGCTACTCCAGTATGCGTATAGGGGCAATTTCTGAATGTGATTGAGAACACTAAACCCTAGCTTTTACTCCCTTACCAATTATGCAATGTTGGCCAAGTCTCAAGATTTCTTTACTCTTCATTTTCTTATCTGTATAATTAGTACAATCATGTCCTTACAAAGTTGCTGTGAGGATTAAATTAGGAATTATTTTTGAAAGTACTTCCACTAGTTCCAGACACATGAAAGAACTTATAAATTTAAAACTTTATGTAAATCTAAAATAGAAAATATTATATACACTGGTAAGTACTTTATATAAATTATTATGTCATCTTTATAGATAGTCTGAGAGATAGGCATTCATTTTCCCATATATGTGAGGAAGCTAAATATTAAAAAGATTAAGTAATGTATCCAAACCTACATGGCTATTAATGAGCTTATTTAAAATTTGCATTAATTTCTTTTTGGACTGCGGTATATTTAGCAGTGCTATGGTCTAAATGTTTGCATTTGCCTAAATTAATATGTTAAAATCTTATCCCCTAAGATGAAGCTATTCGGAGGTGGGGCTTTTGGGAGTGATTAAATCATGACAAGGATCATGCATGATGTGATTGGTGCCTTAAAAAAAGAGGGATGAGAGAGCTGCCTTGCTCCCATTACCATGTGAGGACACAGGTGCCCTCTGTCAACCAAAAAGCAGGTCTTCACCAGACAAAGAATCTGCCAACACCTTGATCTTGGACTTCCCAGCCCCCAGAGCTATGAGAAATAAATTTCTGTTATTCCTAAGCCACCCAGTCTATGGTATTTTTTACAGTAGCCTAACCAGACTAAGATTAGCATTTTACTGTAAAGTTTGTCCATAATATCCACCTTCTCCATCTTCCTTGGTAGTACATGTAATCATCACATCACCTTCAGAGGTTGTCCCTAAAGGACAAATATCTGATGTCTAAATTTCTGATGAGCAAGCTGAGAGCGGATCAGTTTTGAAGAGAAGCATGTTTTCCCCACTACTCTGTATGGACTTATTAGAAGAGGCTTGACCTAGAGAGAGAAGAATGTTTGTGTTCCTTGAGGCCTCTCAGAGAATCTTCTCTTCTGCTTTCAGTAATGTCATGATCAAGCTTTTTAACATGACATGTTTTTGTGTTTCGGGTCAGAGAAACAAATGGGAACACAAATAGAAACGCCAATATGAAAAGCCATAGATTATGTGGATTTTGTTTGTTTGTTTTTGTTTTGTTTTGAGATGGAGTCTTGCTCTGCTGCCCAGGCTGGAGTGCAGTGGCACAGTCTCGGTTCACTGCAAGCTCCACCTCCTGGGTTCACACCATTCTCCTGCCTCAGCCTCCTGAGTAGCTGGGATTACAGGTGCCCGCCACCACGCCCAGCTAATTTTTTTGTATTTTTGGTAGAGACAGGGTTTCACTGTGTTAGCCAGGATGGTCTCAATCTCCTGACCTTGTGATCTGCCCACCTCGGCCTCCCAAAGTTCTGGGATTACCGGCGTGAGCCACCACGCCCGGCCAGATTCTGTGTTTTAACAAAGTCCTGCCAGCTAGTGCTTGATAATATGCAAACTGTCATTCTGCACTTTCTCATAGTTGATCTGCTTAATACATTGACAATCTCAATAATGTCTTATTTTAGAAATACATTGTCATTCTCCTCCTATCATAACTTGGTGGTTGGCATAAGCAATTAGGCACAATTATAATTTATTGCAAGCATAAATTAGAAACAGAATTATGTAAGTTTTATTTTTTCATGCTGTGCAGTTGCTCCTATAACCAATAATTAAGATGGGGAAATGGGCCACGGGAGATTGGTTTTAGAAAGGCCCCACCTGCTCTAGCCCATCTTAACCTGGGGCTAGACTCTCTCAGGGCTAAAGAAGACAGATTCAAGAATAGCAGGTGGTATTTAAATTTATAAGTCAAGAATGTTTTAAGTAAGATTAATAAACAGATATAATGAGTTTACTCTGTCCTCAGCGTATTATCCCTACATTTTTAACAATACCCTACAACTTTAATTATGGTAAAGTTTTTAGTCGATATGAGTCCTCTCCAAGTGTATCCTGAGAATCCCTGCATGCCATTGTCTGTAGGGAAACTTAACCTGCTCTACACTGTGAGGGAAAGTACAATTAAAATAAGCATTGGCCGGGCGCGGTGGCTCATGCCTGTAATCCCACACTTTGGGAGGCCAAGGCAGGTAGATCGCGAGGTCAGGAGATAGAGACCATCCTGGCCAACATGGTGAAACCCTGTCTCTACTAAAATACAAAAAATGAGCTGGGCGTGGTGGTACGCGCCGGTAGTCCCAGCTACTCGGGAGGCTGAGGCAGGGAAATTGCTTGAACCTGGGAGGCGGAGGTTGCAGTGAGCCGAGATCGCACCACTGCACTCCAGCCTGGTGACAGAGTGAGACTTCCTCTCAAAATAAATAAATCAATACATAAAAATAAAAAAACATCAAAATCAGATAAATATGGTATTTGGATTTTAGAATTTAATGTAGCTGCAAATATGATATTGTAGACTATTTAGTCATATTGGTAAATGTATAACTGTATTTTGAAGTAAAAATATTACAAAACAATATTCAATCATGTATAGATTGCATAGGTTACAGTGGAAAAATAAACACGTGTGTGTGTATGACAAAAGAGCAGATATTAAGTTAAATGCTGGGAAGCTATTAGTGGCCATCTCTGAGCAGCGCTCCCTACAGATGGGCAGCAAGCTCCTCTTTCGGAAGGATTAAGGCAGCACATCTCCAGATCTACCATGGTCTATCTCTTGTCTGCTCAGCTGTACTTCCATATATATATCTGGGGACCAGGGACTCTAACTGCGGAACTTATAGTTGTAGGGATGGGAAGCACCAGTTTTCTCTGTGGGTTGATGTAAGTGCTGTATCTACCCCTAAATTACCAGGACGTATGTTCTTCCGATTGGCAGCACAATGCCATACAGATTGATTCAAAGCATATAGTGGGTCTTGGAGGATGGCATGCAGTGATCTCAAAGTATTGACTCTGAACTATTGTTTTCAACTATGCTTCACCAGGCCAGTTCAACATTCTATCAGGCTAAAAGCTTCTATGTGGTGAAGTTTGGTACAACCAGAGGATCCCATGGTCATGGATCGACTCCCTCAACTCTTTTTTTCTGTAAAGTGGATCCCCTGGATTTACATGGGTCAAATGCTCCAAAATCCATTGGATAATGATGCTGCCTAAGGCCCTTTGCTAGTAAAAGCAAACACGTTTACTTCGGTGAGAACAAACTACTTACCCTTTCAGGATACAGGAGTTCAATACAGTCTGATTATCACCAAGTAGCTTCAGGGTCTCTTACAGAAATTGTTTCCCATTGAAAGCTTTCCATTTGTTTCTGTTGCTGGAAGTTTTTATATTTGGTAACAGGAATAGATCAAACTTGGTGAGTCTTTGCTATTAGGCCCACGCGTAAGGTCCACCTGTGGCACTGTAGACACTTCATTCCTGAGTCAGCATTGGGCTAACCGAGGACTAGCTGACATCAGCTGGCTTGCTGGGCCTTTTTGTTTACTTGGTTATCTAGTGTCTCTACTATGGTAAATACTCTCTAGCGAATGCTGAGAACTGTACAACTTATTACCATTTCTATACATCCATCCAAATTTCTTTGTTATTAATATTACAATCTTCTCTTGAAGCCCCTGGAAAGTCAGCCAGACCATTCGCTACTGCTCGTGACTTCTTATTTATTCTAATGTTGGGCTACTTCTAATTTCAACACAAATTGGATGACCATGTGCACTGCCTGAAGCTCTGTTCACTGAGACGATTTTTCTTTGTCATTATCCTTAAGACCATCTCTAAATGAGGCTGTTGTGACACTGCTCTCCATTTTCACCTTGTGCGCACTCACACACACACACACAGACACACACACACACACACACACACACACACACACACACACACACTGAACCAAGCCACCTGTAAGCTCGGCTTAGGCTTTTACTTCTAGGTAAGCTATTTATCCAAGATCTCCCATACATATGATCATAGAAGATACCTGACAAAACAAGAGTGTTTGCCCAATACAGGTAGGAGCCATGGACATATGAAATATCTGCTCATGCATCTTGCTTGTGCATTCTGGTCTTGCTCAGGCTAAATTCTGTAGGTACTGCTTTGAAAGTATGATGCATTGTCACTGTGAAGGAAACAGTTCATGATGCAGTTTCAGACACATGGTCACTTGTCTCATGCTTAGACATTCTGTCTCTACCATAGCCCATTAGTTCACCAGGATTTTGTTTCCTAAGCCATAACATTCTTTCCAACAGTTGGCTTGATCTTGTTCCTGGTTCAGGGCACTGAATTGCAGTTCTCCTTTTTGAGCAAGCCATGTGCTTCACATAGCATCTTTCCCCATCTGTAATACAAGAGTCAGCTAAATTATACAGCCTAATTGGCATTGCTGCTTACATTAATGCCTGGACATTGCTGCAAACTCTTTTCTGCTTTGGGCCCCACTTAATGCTGTAAGTCTTTCACATAATTCTGCCCCACTGGGACCCTAACAGTTTTATGGAAGTGGCAAACCCCTAAAACTGCCCGGGTTCATACCTCACCCTCTGGTTCACATGAGTTTCACCAAGACTGCCAGCATGTAAGCCACCTTTTGCTCACTTTGTTCATTGAGCACGATGCCATCATATAATAGATTAAAATAATATTTGTGTGCCCTATAGGTGGTCCATCTCTCTTTAAACTGTTTTGTAACAGAGGACAAGATGGTGAACATAGATCTGGGGTAATATTGTTAAAGTGTATTTTTACCCATTCCATATGAATACAAACTATGTCTTATCCTCTCTTTTGACTGAAATACAAAAGAACACATTTGCCAAAACAATGTCTCTATAGCATGTACCTGAGATCATATTAATCTAGTCTAACAACAACAAAAGCACATGTAGCATGTTGGTTACAACCAGGCTTATTACTTGGTTATTCATGCACTGATCCTTAGACTTCATTCAGAATCCATCTGATTTCCTCAGGGGCCAGACTGTTGTTAATATGAGAACTGAAGGGCCCATGACTTCTACATTCTTTATATCCTTGAAGCTGACACTACTCTCTGACCTTCCCACTTCCCAGAATACAATATTCCTTTTGGGTAATTATCCTTGAAGGTCATCCCTCGAGTTTGGCTGTTGGGTCTTGGCGTTTGTCCTCATTGTCCTCCATATTCCATCAGAGAATATGAGGGATTTCTTGTAGGCAACCAGTGGAGCCCTCTAACTTTAACACCTGGCTTTGAATAGCATAACACTTGCACTAAGCTCTTCATTATCTTTTTGTAATGTCTCAGTGATACTTAGCAATACTATTTGACAGCATTATCTTTAAAGCTACTCTTTTCTCTATGTACTTCAAGTGCTTGGTACATTTACCACACCTTCTAATGAATTCCCTTTCAGCAGTATGCCTTATGAATGCACCACCTGTGAATGTTTCAGCAGCTGGACAGCTCCCTTGTGCTGGGTGCTTTCTGTGTTCCACGTATCACCAGCATAAGGCCCTCATTGCTATCCATAGGGTGCATAATCTAGCTCTGTAAGCTTCTGCTTTCCTTGGTCTACTACCAATACCAGCCATTTATAATTCCCTAGAAAAGACAAAGTTTAGGGTGCAGGATGTGAATTAAGAATCAACCCCCATGATGGGAAGAAGGAGAAAGCAGAATTTAGCATTAGTAAAAATCAAATTGTACAATGCAGATCCAACAAATGTTTGGCAAACCTGGCTAAAATCTTCAGAGCAAGAATTGTCCACCAGAGTGTCTTACATTGTAACCTTCCTTCACTCTCCTTTATGGTCCCTTCTTTCCTATCACCTTAGGCACTGTTTTCTTACTTCTCACCCCGTTGTATGTTTTCCTTCTCTCTAGTATGTCCTAAGTCTCTCCTGCTGCGCTTCAGGGCTGTCTTTGACTACCATTTCTTTCTCTCTCTTTCTTTCTCTCTTTCTCTTTTTCCCTCCCTCCCTCCCTTCTTTCCTTCCTTCCTTCCTTCCTTCCTTCCTTCCTTCCTTCCTTCCCTCCCTCCTTTCTTTCGTCTCGCTCTGTCATCCAGGCTAGAGTTCAGTGGCACAATCTCAGCTCACTGCAACCTCTGCCTCCTGGGTTCAAGCAAGTCTTCTGTCTCAGTGCGCCACCACACCCAGCTAATTTATATGTGTGTGTGTGTGTGTGTGTGTGTGTGTGTGTGTGTGTGTGTGTGACACTATATATATATATATATATTAGTAGAGACTGGGTTTCATCATGTTGGTAAGGCTGGTCTCAAACTCCTGACCTCATGATCCACCCGCCTTGGCCTCCCAAAGTGCTGGGATTATAGGCATGAGCCACCATGCCCAGCCACCATTTTTTCTTTCTCTGACACTTTGATGGCCACTAAGTCCAGGTCAGCTGATGTCCATGTGCATGTTTTGATATAATGCTTTGCTTCTGTCTTCTTTGCCTGGTCCATTTTCTGGCCCTTGGGCCAAAAGCTTGAGGTGCTTCAACATGAAGTGTGATTTGGGCAGCTGTGGCATTCCACCAGTCATCAAGCTTCAAATTTCAAAGTCTGGGGATGGCCTTAGTTCCTTATTTTAAGGATATTATCTTTGAGTGTTAGGGTCTTACTGGGGAATCCTGGCACTACTATTCCATTTCTCAATGATTTATTTTCCCTCCTCATCCTCCCTTTATGGTTCCAGATCTCTGGAGCTGTCAGGCCGAGGCTAAGTTCCCCCTTTCTTAATATGCCCACCAAGGCATAGCACAGTAATCCTCTTTAGATGGTCACCAACACCACCAAGGGTGCCAAATCTCCATCATAAGTTGTGCATAAATGTTTCAAAGGCTCTTACGACAATGGATCCTGGAAGTTTGCCAATAACATCAAAGAAATGCCTGAATAAAATATATAAATTAGAACCTGAGAGAGACCTGGTTTTAAATTAGGCTTGGGAGTAAGAAGAGTTGTATTCATGTCCAGGTTGTGACATTACCTTGCCCTGTGACCTTGGACTAGTAAGTTTACTTCTGAGTGTCTATTTTTTTTTTCATTTATAAATGAGAAATGTTCTGCCTTTCCTTCTTATCTCACCAGGTTGTTGACATAATTATATATCTCATCTACAGAAAACCTCTTTGTAAATTGGAAAGTACTACTTAGTTCTTACCTGCCGTAATAACTTTCTGAAAGAAAGAGAACTAATAGTGAGAAAATGCATGCCTTTGAGATACATTATTGCATAGTGTCTAAAGAAATAGTATTATCTGAGCCAATTACTTAACCTTGCTATGCCTCAGTGTCCTCATCTTAAAATGAGGATAGTAATCTCATAACATTGTTGTCATTATTAAATACACACACACACACATGCACACACACACACATACACACATATATATATATATATTTATGGAGTGGGTCTTAGCACAATGTCTGGTGCTTGGTAAGAACTATGTAGTTATTAGACATGGTGACCTTGGGGGAGGCATCATGCTAAATGCTTAGAAATAATATTTATTCTACAAATTTTAAATGTGTAGATGGGATAGAATAAATGAAATGCAACATCTAGCTGTTGTAACCATTTCTATGTTTAACATAATGTTAATATTGTGTTTTAAAACTCACATGTATATGGTATCTATTTTCAGACTATGAATTATTTTTTACTTTTGCTTATTTAAATAAAAATTTTGTCATACAGATTTATTTATTTATTTATTTAGAGACAGAGTCTCGCTCTGTCACCCAGGCTGGAGTGCAGTGGCGCAATCTCGGCTCATTGCAACTCCTGCCAACTGATTCTCATGCCTTAGCCTCCCGAGTAGCTGGGACTACAGGTGTGCACCACTACACCGAGCTACTTTTTTTTTTTTCATTTTTAGTAGAGACAGGGTTTCACCATGTTGCCCAGGCTGGTCTCAAACCCCTGAGCTCAGGCAATCTGCCCGCCTCGGTCTCCCAAAGTGTTAGGATTAGAGACATAGACCACCACGCCCGGCCTCTTTAATTTTAATGTAGTCAACTTTATCAAAACTTTTCAGATTTTATCTTCCTGTTTTTATTTAACATATTCTACCAAAGACTGATTCCTAAAGGGCATATTTTTGGCAATTAAAATTATTCTAAATTTTTTAGTTTTTTTTTTTTGTCTACCTGATATATATTTCTATCTACATTCATATCCATCTCTACTGATATAAGTGTGTGTATGGGTTTAATGTGTCAGGTAAGGATCTATTTTGCTTTTCCATATATAGATGACCAATTGTCCCTGAGATTTTATTTAACATATTCTACCAAAGACTGATTCCTAAAGGGCATATTTTTGGCAATTAAAATTATTCTAAATTTTTTAGTTTTTTTTTTTTTTTGTCTACCTGATATATATTTCTATCTACATTCATATCCATCTCTACTGATATAAGTGTGTGTATGGGTTTAATGTGTCAGGTAAGGATCTATTTTGCTTTTCCATATATAGATGACCAATTGTCCCTGAGATTTTATGTCATCTTTTTAATATATTTTATATCAAATATATAACAATATATTTTGGTAATTATCCTTGAAGGTCATCCATCCACTTTGGCTGTTGGGTCCTGGTGTTTGTCCTCATTGTTCTTCCAACTCCATTACAAAATATGAGAGATTACTTGTATGCAACCAATGGAGTCCTCTAACTTTAACAACTTTTTAATACATTTTATATCAAATATATAACTAAGATGACTATGCATGTATAAATCACACACACACACAAACACACACACACTTTTTTCTCTGGGGTCTCTATTTGCTTTCTCAGATTTATTTTCCTATCCCTGTCCAAACCTCATACTGTTTTTTATTTCTATATCTTTAGAGTGTATTTAAATGTTAGTGAGATGAGTTTTTTTACTTCCATTTCATTTTACAATTTGACATAACTATTCCTGCATATCCATTATTGTACATAATTGTACATCTTGTTACATTAAGTGAAAAATCACATTGGTTTTGATTAAAATGTAATTTGTGGTAGTTTCAATACCTTTCAATTCAACATATTGAATGTTTTCTTTCAAAGTGTGAAATATGTTTTCATAATTTGGATTGTTTTGTGTGCTACTCTATTTACAATGATAATTTACTTCAATTGATTGTTGTTGATATATAGAAATGTTATTTGATCCTATCTTAGCAACTTTGACCTTTTTAATTTTAATAGTTAGGAAATTGTATTTTTCTATATATTAGCATATTGTTTGTGAGTTTATCTAATGTCAATTTTATTTCTTTTTCCAGGACTTATACTATTTCTTATTTCTTTTTTGCTCTTACTGTGCTTACAAAAATCTCCTGTACCCTGCTAAGGAGGAAGTCTAAGAATGACAATGTCGGCTAGTCAACAATAACTTTTAACATTAGAGAAAACTTTTAACATTCTTAATAAGACATGATTAGTCTAATAATACATTTGTTATATTAATTCCCATACATGCATTAAATGCTGTACATTTTCATTCTTAAAGTTGTGTTTACATATTCACTCAATTTGAAATATCATGAAGTTTCTATTATGACTTCTTTTTCATCCCATAACTTATTAAGGGTTTTATTTTAAAATTTTTAAGTGTTCATATATTTGGGCTTTCTTTAATATTAATATCTAACATATTGCTTTTTGGTGGAGATTAAGTTTTTATTGATATTGGTTGAAGCTTGCTTATGGATTATTATGTTATTGTTATTTATAAAGATTTTTCATATGAATGTAAAAAGAATGTGCATACTGTACTTGTTCATTGCAGGATTTAATAAGTATTGATGAAGTTAATCTCTTTACCTGTGTTCTTATCTTATAAATAATGGTTTGGTAAACTATGACCCACTGGGCAAGACCAGTCCATGGCTTGGGTTGGGACTTCCTGTGTGTGGCCTGTGAGTTAAGAATGAATTTCACATCTCGGCTGGGCGAGGTGGCTCACGCCTGTAATCCCAGCACTTCGGGAGGCTGAGGCGGGCAGATCACGAGGTCAGGAGATTGAGACCATCCTAGCTAACACGGTGAAACCCCATCTCTACTAAAAATACAAAAATTAGCCAGGCATGGTGGCAGGCACCTGTAGTCACAGCTACTCAGGGGACTGAGGCAGGAGAATGGCGTGAACCCAAGAGGAGGAGCTTGCAGTGAGCTGAGATGGCGCCCCTGCACTCCAGCATGGGTGACACAGCGAGACTCCTTTTCAAAAAAAAGAATGATTTTCACATCTCTAAAAGAGTGTGTCTGTGTGTGCACACGTGTGCATCTGTGTATATGTATATATATAATTATACATACAATATATAAATATATATTTATATGTAAAAATAGAGAAAGAGAGAGGGGGAGAATATTATAGAGACTGTATGTGGCCTATAAATCTTAAAATTTTTACTATTTGGTCTTTTGCAAGAAACATTTCTCAATCTTTGTTCTATACCTTTAGTATATTTTTCTGATTGATTTATAATTTTCTTACAGTGATGTATTAAAACCTTTCATTGAGTAGTCTTTAGTTAATCAGTTCTCTGCCATTTTTGCTTTTACTTTTAAAGTCTATATTTTTAAATATGTATAGGTCCAGGATTATAGTATCTTTCTGGTGAATTATTCATTTTATAGTTTATAAAGGTCACCTTTTGCCATATTAATGCTTTCTGAATTCATTTAACTAGTATTTGTCCTTCCTATATTAAAATGAAGCTGGTGTCCAAATATTGATATCAGAGTAAATGTTCTCATACGGGATATTTTTATTGTGGGTGCTGAAGAGGTAAGTTTGGATTTTGAAAATGTTGCCTCAGAAAAATTTGGAGTTTCCTTTACCTGGGTGTTCTAGGGGCATTCCAAATCTGAGGGAAGTTAATTTGTTAATATATGTGTTTAGAGCTTAAGAAGCAATTCATATCAAGTAATTTGAATTCTATACCAGTGCTTCATGCAGGTTTGGGTTTTTAATAACTTCTGATGAATGAACTTACATTTCTCCCCACCTAGAGGCCTGGCTAGAGAGAAACTTCACTCCTGCTTTCCTTGGCCTTCATTTGCTCTGTTCCATCCTTCAGTTAGGCATTTATTTTCTCAGGCCTTAGCTGTATGGAGGGAACTCATTTAAAAGTCTCCCAATACCATAGTCAAATAGCAAATCCTCTGTTCTTCAGCATCCCGGCATCCAGCCCTGGAACTTCCATTTCATGTATATTTCTCAGCCCAACATTTCAACATCAACTTAAAATGCCAGTTTCTTTTTTCTTTTCTTTTCTTTCTTTCTTTCTTTTTTTAATGTTACTTTAAGTTCTGGGATACATGTGCAGAATGTGCAGGTTTGGTACATAGGTATACGTGTGTTATGGTGGTTTGCTGCACCTACCAACCCGTCACCTGGGTTTTAAGCCCTGTATGCATTAGGTATTTGTCCTGATGCTCTCCCTCCCCTCAGCCCCCACCCCGCAACAGGCACCAGTGGGTGTTGTTTCCCTCTCTGTGTCCATGTATTCTCATTGTTCAGCTCCCACTTATAAGTGAGAACATGTGGTGTTTGGTTGTCTGTTCCTGTGTTAGTTTGCTGAGGATGGTGGCTTCCAGCTTCATCCATGTCCCTGCAAAGGACATTATCTCATTCCTTTTTATGGCTGCATAGTATTCCATGGTGTATATGAACTACATTTTCTTTATCCAGTCCATCATTGATGGGCATTTGGGTTTGTTCCATGTCTTTGCTATTGTAAATAGTGCTGCAATAAGCATACTTGTGCATGTGTCTTTATAGCAGAATAATTTATATTCCTTTGGGTCTATACCCCATAATGGGATGGCTGGGTCAAATGGTATTAGATCTGGTTCTAGATCCTTGAGGAATGGCCACACTATCTTCCACAATGGTTGAACTAATTTACATTCCCACTAGCAGTGTAAAAGCATTCTTATTTCTCTGCAGCCTCGCCAGTATCTCTTGTTTCTTGACTTTTTAATAATCGCCATAGAATGCCGGTTTCTGGCACCCGGGTCTTTGTTCTTTCCCTTTTGGAGTTTGTGTTCACTTATATATGTATCTTTTTAAAATAATTTATTGTATTTATTATTTCTAAGTGATATGTAAGAGGGGCATTTATGTTTTATAGTGTAAACTTGTTCCACCATATGTCTAAACTTGAATCCAGCAATCTCATTTCTTTCATCTCAGCAACCCTAGGTACCATGATATTTATATCCACTCATTTAATAATGGGATGCTTGGCTTCTACCACATTAGGTAACTTGCGCGTGATTACATGCCAATTAAATGACAAAGTTAAAATACTCTCATTCTTTCTATTGTGCTATGTTGAAACTCTGATATATTTCAGGAAAATGAATTGTATTGTAATAATTAGTGAATGAATGCAATTGGTAGAGAGGTAAGAAAGTATTCCCTGGTATTCTTTAGGTTTCATGTGACAGAAATGGCTCAAGTTATTTTAAAAGTGGGGGGAAACATGGTTCATATATCTGAAAAATGCATTTTGACATAGCTCTCTCCACCTTTCAGCGCTGATTTTCTATGCATTGGCTTTGTTCTTGGGCCAGCTGGTTTGATGCAGTAGAATGATGGCCATAAACTGACCTCAGTCTACATCCTACAGTTGAATAACCTTACGGGAAAGAAAATGCCTCTTTCTCAGCATTTTCAGCAAAGATTAAAGGTTGTTATTAATACTTACAGTATAGACTTAAGTCATGGTCCTGTTACTGAATTATACCAAAGAAATATGCTGCTTATTCACACCTATGTTGAGTAATGAATCCTGCAGTCAGACAGGATCAGGAGTGGCCAGGGGTTATTGCTCAGGTTCAGGCTCATTTGAGGCCAGGTGGTAAATATTCTGCACATAGGTCATAAAACCTGCTGGCCTGAGGCTTGCTCTGAATCTGCTATTCTCCTAGAACTCTGACACTGCTGCTTTCCTGATGAGAAGCACTACTTGAACCAGACTCAGTATCATCCAAGATTCTCAAATCCCTTTAAACACAGTACTAAATGCAGGAGTGTTGTATTACTTTTCAAATTATTGGTTTGTCCTTCCACGTTTAGTCTCCATGAAGGTATGAGCCATTCTTATTTTGTCCATCATTTTATAATCAGTGCTCAGAAAGTTCTTGGTACATTATAAATAGTCAATAGATGTATTTACTTTTTGTTTTTTATTTCTTCAACTTTTTTTTTTTTTAGTTTCAGGGGTATATGTGCAGGTTTGTTATGTGGGTAACAGTGTGTCACTGGGGTTTGGTGTACATATTATTTTGTCACCCAGGTAATAAGCACAGTATCTGATAGGTAGTTTTTCAATCATAGCGACTATAACAGACAGGACAACAAAGAATCTCAACGTTCTAAAAAATAGAAATTTGTGTCTTCCTCACACGCATGTTGATTGGTGATGGTGGTGATGGTAGCTTGTTCAATGCATTTATTCAGAGATCCAATCCAGTGGAGGAGCTCTCATCTTAAAAGTCTGTTTTTTAAGACTGAGCTAGCTGTTAACATCCAGCTGGCAGGCAGATGGGAAAGTGGAAGAATTTAGGCTCCTCCAGGAGGATGTTGAGTGGGGCCAAGCTAGGAAGTAATACAAATTGCTCCTACTATTGACCGAAACTCAATTACAAGTTTATTTGATCATGCAGCAGGGGCTGAAGATTGCAGTTCTTGACTGAGCAGCTATGTCCCAGCAACATCTCTATCCCATGAAATAAAAACACTAATTTTTGGTGAACAGCTACCAGTCTTTGCCACAATGAGACTTATTGAATAAATGTATTATCACAGCACACTTTGTTCCAAGTAAAACGGGTCTATGAAGGTCTGCGGAATAAATTCTGTTTGTTACTTGGATTATTTTTTTTTGTTCTTCTTATTGTAAAGAAAAGTCAGATACTCTGTCCTTGAATGTAGAGAAAATCAGGAAGTTTCAGAAACTGTCAGGAAGCACAGGGCACAGTTACGACCCCTCTGAAGAATCAGAAGACTGTCTTAGGGCAGCTGTAGTAGCCAATAACTTTCTGGAATGACTTGAGGGGCTGGTCATGATCTTTTTGGATATATTTTATCTTTTATTATTTCTGTTATTGACATAACTTTCTACCTTTTGGAAGACTTCTGAAGAGAAGGAAAAGGAAGGGAAGGAAACTAAAATAATGTTTATTGAGCTTCCACAAGATGTCTGCCTTATAGTAGTTGCATTACATAGGCTATCTCATTTAATTCCCTCAATAACCCTAGAGTTATGTGTTGGTATATATGTATTTACATATAAAAAATAATAAAACTACAACAATAAAAATGAATGTTCACAGAGATCTATTATGTACCAGTGTTTTCCATAGATGTTTTACTTATTTATTTATTTAGAGACAGGTCTTGCTATGTTGCCCAGGATTGATGTGAACTCCTGGGTTCAAATGATCATCATGCCTCCGCTTCCTGAGTATCTGGGACAAGAACATATGCCACCACTCTTGGCTTGATGCTCTTCATTAACCTTCTTGATAACATCATAAATTTGGAACCTCTTAGAGGTTAAGAGACGTGTTCAAGATTACTTATGTGGTAAAAAGTAGAGAGTTATGAGCCCAGACAAGTCTTTTAGCTGGTTAAAAACCAGACTTGGGATTTAGCCAAGTTTCTGCCCTTTCCAACCAGGCTAGCATCTTTGTTCTTCAGTAGTCACTGTTGTTACTTGCATGCCCCCAAGTGTAGAAAAACCAAAGGTCACATGGCACTTGAGTGGAATTAGCTGCAGCAAGGAAGAAGAAACAGCAGGAACAGGAATGAACAAACTGGGCAGTGTGCTGGTGGGAAGAGTCCCTGAGAGCAGAGCACAGAAGAGGCTGCCAACTGTGAGCTTCCACGACAAAGAACTTTCACTTTGGATGTGTTGTGCAATGTGATGTGTGAGCTATTGGGTGACATATATCATTGTTTGGCTCTAATTCCACATCGTCTGTTAGAAATTGTTGGTGCCCTGCTTCTTGGGTGTTAAATGCATATAGACAGCTCACTGGGAAGGTAGTTTCTGTGTATTTTTTTTAAACCCACATATCCTTAGATGATACAATACATTCACTATCTAGTTAGAGTTCAATGGTGTATGTGTGTACATATACATATATGTGTGCATACATGTGTGTACATATACATATATGTGTGCATACATGTGTGTACATATACATACATATAAATACACAAATACATACATATATTGGTCTGTTCTCTCACCACTATAAAGAAATACCTGAGACTGGGTAATTTATAAAGAAAGGAGGTTTATTTGACTTGTAGTTCCATGGGCTATACAGCAAGCATGGTGCTGGCATCTGCTTGGCTTCTGAGGAGGTCTCAGGAAACTTAAAATCATGGCAGAAGACAAAGGGGGAGCCAGCACTTCACATGGCTGGAGCAGGAGGAAGAGAGAATGGGGGAGGTGCGACACACTTTTAAACAACCAGATCTCATGAGCACTCTATCATGAGTTCAGCACTAGAGGGACGGTGTTAAATTGCTCTCCAACATATCAGCTTCAAACAACAAGCATTTATTATCTCACATTTAATGTGGGTCAGTACTCTATTCATAAATTAATTGAGTGCCTCTGGTTCAATCTCTCATGAGGTTTCAATCAAGGTGTCAAGCAAGACTGTGGTCTAATTTAAAGTTCTGACCTAGAGGACAGCATCCGCTTCCAAGCTAACTTATAAGGCTGTGTGGAGGCTTTGATCCCTAACCATATGGGCCTCTCCACAGGACTCCCACGTGACACAGCCACTGGCCTCCTCCAGAGAAGGATAACTGAGACAGTGAGAAGAACTGCCTAGGATGGAAGCCAGTCTTTTTTTTTTCTTGGTGAGGTGGGGGATGGAGTTTCGCTCTTGTTGCCCATGCTGGAGTGCAGTGGTGTGATCTTGGCTCACTGCAACCTCCACCTCCCGAATTCAAGTGATTCTCCTGCCTCAGCCTCCTGAATAGCTGGGATTACAGACATGCACCACCACACCTGGCTAACTTTGTTTTTGTAGTAAAGATGGAGTTTCTCCATGTTAGTCAGGCTGGTCTTGAACTCCCGACCTCAGGTGATCCTCCTGCCTCGGCCTCCCAAAGTGCTGGGATTACAGGCATATGCCACTGTGCCTGGCTGGAAGTCATTCTTTTTAGAACATAATAAGTGGCATCCTATCCCTTCATTGGCATTCTAATTGCTAGCAGTGAGTCAACAACTCCAGCCCATAGTCAAGGGGGATAGGGTGCCCCAACCAATGAACACAAGGTCATTGGAGTTTTTCTAGTTGCCTACCACAACATATCTCAAGGCTTTCTTCTGTAAGGCAGATGAAGGAGGGATGAGAATAGAGAGTGGCTGGAGAGTCCTCTAGAGATTAACGTATGGATCAACAAAACATTGGATGAAAACAATGACTGACTCACATTATCTTTCCAAAAGCAGATTTGCAAAGATCTGAAGTTGATAGTGTGTCCGGAATTGGTTCCTTCCAGTGGGTTCTTGGTCTCGCTGACTTCAAGAATGACGCTGCAGACCCTTGCAGTGAATGTTACAGTTCTTAAAGATGGTGTGTCTGGAGTTTGTTCCTTCAGATGTTCAGATGTGTCTGGAGTTTCTTCTTTCTGGTGGGTTTGTGGTCTTGCTTGACTTCAGGAGTGAAGCCTCAGACCTTCACCGTGAGTGTTACAGCTCTTAAAGGTGGCGTGTCCAGAGTTGTTTGTTCCTCCCAGTGGGTTCGTGGTCTCGTTGACTTCAGGAGTGAAGCCGCAGAACTTTGCAGTGAGTGTTACAGCTCATAAAGGTAGTGCAGACCCAAAGAGTGAGCAGCAGCAAGATCTCTTGTGAAGAGCAAAAGAACAAAGCTTCCACAGAAAGAACAAAACTTTCACAGCAGGGAAGGGTACCTGAGTGGGTTGCCGCCATTGGCTCAGGTGGCCAGCTTTTATTCCCTTATTTGGCCCCGCCCACATCCTGCTGATTGGTCCATTTTACAGACTGCTCATTGGTCCGTTTTTACAGAGTGCTGATTGGTGTGTTTACAATCCTTTAGCTAGACAGAAAAGCTCTCCAGGTCCCCACCCGATTAGCTAGACACAGAGCACTGATTGGTGCATTTTTACAGAGTGCTGATTGGTGTGTTTACAAATCTTTAGCTACACACAGAGCACTGATTGGTGCATTTGCAATCCTTTAGCTAGACAGAACAGCTCTCCAAGTCCTCACCCGACCGAGAAGTCCAGCCAGCTTCACTTCTCAATAGTCTCTGTTCAAAATATTAAACTAATAATAAAATAATGATTATTGAATATCTATACATTAAATTTAATCTCTTTAGAGGAACCTGAAAGATATTACATAATGTGGTTCTAGTTACTCTTACGGCCTTCTTTTTTGTTTTATTGTCCTATGTTGCTGGTTTGTAGAACAGCAGAATGCATTAGATTTGAAGATGGAAAACTTTTAGATTAGGCTGTGCCATTTTTTGATTCATTGGTGTAAATTTTAATTTTTTTCATAGGTAAAATGAGATTAAAATCCCTTGTTCTGCCAACCTTATGTTTATAAAGAAGATAAATTATGTGAAAGTATTTCTAAAGAATTTGTCATAGTAGAAATAGTTGTCCTGTAGCGATTGTAAGTGGAATCATATGTATTTTTTGGTCTGGAAAAAATGTTCCAGTGGTATGTATACACCGCTCTACCTGGGAATTCTTGCTGGTTTCTGTATCTAGTGATCTCTTTATTTTGCTTCCTGCTGAAATGCTGTTTAACTTTACATGGTGGTTAATCGACCTATCAAGTGATCCACTCAATCACTTTCTATCTCCCTGAATTAGAATTAATCTGTTTACCAAATGTACTTTGTTGAGAAGTCACACACTGCTTTTGCCTGGTGGGCTTCACATTCTGATAAATGTTAGCAGGCATGCATTATATCCTCTCCATGACTATGTACTTCTACAGTGCATGGGCTATTTTCAGCTGTTCTAGGTATATTCGCAGTCCCTTACTAAGTTAGTTGCACCCTACTTCATTTCAACAAGCTTTAGGGGCAGATAGTAAAAAATCATGCAATGGTACAGGTTGAAGTAATCATTTTTGTCTCTGAATTTTTTAGTGTCTAACACAGAGGTGTCCACTGTAGGTACTCAACCATTTTTGTTGTTGTTGTTGTTGCTGAATTACATAAGCTGGCTTTTATTCTGGAGAGTCCTCCCAATCCTCGCTTCTTCAGTAGTACTTAATATCGTCACTTTGCCGCATACCCATATCCCTTTTAACTGATCCTATTATAGCATGTACCTGCCAGTAAGCTCTAGATGTGCATATAGATATTCTATGCTTATGGTGCTTCAGGCATGTGATTGAACTTGTTTTTTTCATTTCAGGGTTTGAGTTTATTAATGTGGCTTTTGGAATTTTAATTGATTTTACCTTTGGAAATGGGGCCTCTGTTAATTTTTTGATTCCCCAGTCATTACTTTGAGACACCATTTTACTTCACCACCAGGTTTCTTTACCACTGCAGGTCCTTGTTCATCCAGGAAAGAAGAATGCACTATGTGTGTGAATTTTATACAAGTACCTCTTACTAATTTGTCCTCAGTCTTCTCAATCCAGCCATAGGAGTGGATGAAACTATTGGAGTGTGAATGTTTTGAATTAACTTACTCAATTATGAAGAATCCCTTAAACTTCCCTTGAAATCTAATTCAAGCTTCTCTTTCCAGGCTGATTCAATTAAGATTCGTTTTAACTGCGGAATCTTGTCTTCGTAATTGTTCTTTTTAAGCCCTTTAAAGGCATGTATCACATTCCCAAGTGCTGTCTGGCTTCTAGTTTTACCTCCAATTCCCTACTTAATGAAGCTGAAAAAAGTGGGTGATTATATTGTTCCTTTGTTTTTATTGGACAAGCTCAGGGGAATTGGTCCAATTCTGCTGAAATACTACTAACTTGAAATTTTCACAGGGATTAAGAACACATTCTGTGTGTGTCTAGAATGTGAGAGAGTTATTTTCAGTGCAGTTTTATTAAATAGAATTTATTGAGTGTCCATTATGTGCTAGGCACTCTTCAACATGCTGGTGTTTTAACGACAAAAAAGAAGGCTTTGTTCTTTGCCCTGGGTCTTGGCTTACAGTCATGTGGGAGAAACACGTGGGGCTGTGATAACATGGCTTAAGTGCCATTGCAGAGATATACTCAGAAGACCATATTGGTAAAGAGACAGGGCTCTTATTTTCTACTTGGGGAAGGGGTGTCATGAAAGATTTCCCAGAGGAGGTGACACTTAAGCTATGTCCAGAGGGTAAATATAAATATAAAACACTCAGCGGAGTTAGCTTGGAATCACTCATTTGCTAGGTAGAGTTGCCAGAAAGGACAAGATTAAGCACAAACAAAAATGTATTTTCTGCTATAACTGGGGAGTTCAGGGAACTGTGAAGGCATTGCTCAGTCCAGAGTTTAGACAATTGTCTTCAGTTAGCTTGCTCTTACACATCTTTTCAAAATTTTCTTGTTTATTGTCTTTGAACTTCCTTCTGATTTGGGCAAATGACAGTCCCTACACAGCTCCAGGCTTGAGTGATCCTCATACAAGTGATTCATCTGCCAGGATCCATGTCAGGTCCCAAAAAATGACTTAATTGGCCCCGCTAAGGCCACATGGGTATTCTCTTGCTCAGTCATTTATTCACTCGCCCAGTGAAGTTATCGTTTTAAGCAACTGTTCTTGAGTTAATCTCTGGACTCTAGGATTTGTGCACCCAGGCCAGCCTGAATCATCTGAGTCCCATGAAGTGGAAGAAACAGGCCATATAATTAGCATTCCCACCATATTGAAGAGGGGCGTTTCTTAAAAAAATTATGTCTGGACAAATTAAAACATTATACTATATGCGTTACACCTCTCAAAGATAAAGAAAAGACTCCATAGAGTGGGCGTGATGCATTAGGGCAGCACTTCTTAAACATTTGTGAACACACAAATCATCTGAGGAACTTGATTAAACATAGGTTGGAACCTGGGATGGAACTTGAGACTCTGCGTTTCTGAGCTGCATGGTGATGCTAATGCCATTGCTCCACAGACTACATTTTGAGTAGAAAGGCGTTAATGGTACCTCAAGTCATTTACTGTAGCTGGATATTAGCACATAAGGGTGTGTAAGTGAGGAGGGAACAATGAAGAGTGTTGCATGGTAAAGAGTAAGGGCTAGGCCCGAGAAGGGCAGGACCTCAACTTGGCTCTGTGATCCTTACTTAGGCTTGCTCACATCAGTTTTCATTCTCTTGGCTTCCATGATTGAAAAGTGAGTGGTTGGTGTTATAAAGCTCCCACCAAAGAAGTGTCATATTTGGGGAAGAGCACAGCTTTGGGAGCCTGTTATAGTTGTGCTAATAAGCTGGCTCTACCTCTTACTGACTCTCCAGCCTTGGCCACATTACTTAAGTATCTCAAGTACCTTGTTTGGGGTCATTTTCCATTTGCCCACCAGATCCCTTTCTCACCTCACTCTGCTTGGTGCCCTGGAAGGCTTTCTTTTGGGGAATACATTACCAGGGCTCCCTTTCTGATTTCTAGTTGCTGCTGGCAGGCACCAGCAGAAGATTGGAGGAAGGTAGGAGAGAGGCCACAGTATTCGTTCTTCCTGCCCTTTCCATACCAGGCCAGAGCTTTGGTAGCATCCGTGTGCTTCTATCTAAGGTCTCAGCTCCCATCAGGACTTCATTCCTGGGCAGCTCCCATCAGATTCTGGAATGCTGCTCTCTCTCCCTGTCCCTTAGGTTTAGGAGTGGCTAAGGAGTCCAACTATGGTTGGTCCATGGGTCATAGCCATCTCTTTATGCTTCTATAAATCCTGCTGGAGTTGCCATCTGTTCCTTTCTGGGACCTTGGCTGGTGTGTTTGTCATTCCTCATTTGTAATATGGGCTAGTAATGCCTATGTTACCTGGTTTATGTGAAAATTAAATAAAACAGTTTATTGAATGTGCCTGGGCATAGTGGATTGACTACAACCAACACTAGAAACCCTCATTGCTTCTTCCTATTCACATGCTTCTTCTTAGCATCATCTACTCTTCCCCTGAGAGCACACCATTGGGAGCACTTAGATTCTGAGTCTGACTCTCAAGCCACAGCTGGTTGGGCTGGAAATGATTCAGCAGGCCAAACTCTGCCAGTCAGCCTCTGGGTACAGGGGATCTGAAGGTGGGACTCAGAGTCTCATTGGTCTTTGGTTTGTCCTTTATCTGGGAGACTATGTGAAGCCAGGGTTGGTAAGGGGGACATGACTGGGTTATGCGCTTGTCTTCAGAGCAGACGGGGATGTTGGAAAGAGTGAGAAGAAGAAATAAAAAGTGTGTGTGTGTGTGTGTGTGTGTGTGTGTGTGATTCCCTGGTGACTGAATGACTTTTTATTCCCATTTCTAATCTTCAGGGGGCCCAGCTTCCATTACAGTACGTGAGACATCCCCAACATTCTCCAGTCTTCGTGAGTTACTATCTACACAGTGAAATTGGTGATGCCATCATTGTCCCCTGAACCACATGGTGAAGGAGTAGATGCCTCAACAAAACCTCTGTTCAATTAAGAAGGAATAAGTATAGATGGATAGTAGGTAGGCAGCTGTCAAAGTAGACACCCAGACTAGGTAAAGTGAAGCAAGCACTTAACTTAGTGTGATCTACTCCTATAATGAGGAGCTCTCAAGAGACAATAACTACCTTACAAAATTTAATTGGGCTTCTTATTGGGCCCAGGATAGATGAATAGAAAGGTCCTAGGAGAGCAAGTTCACTGACTCAGAGAGCAGAGTGGTCATTTTTCAGCATTCCCGTGATTATTGTGTTCAGCCAACCCCAGTTCAGAATGTTGGGCAGAATGTATCTGTAACTATCTATTCCTCCCAGTTTGTGGCAACTGTATGCTTCTTACAATTCTTAAATGTGCCTTTATACACAAAAATTCAGCACAAAGTTTATGAGTGTAAAGTACAGCTTTTCATCCAGACTTCAGTGCCCTCCACTTTGAAAGGTTAGTGTTCTGCTCTAGAGCCCCCATCCTGAGTATTGGCAAAGCCCTCATCTTTTCCAACATTCCTGAGGCTGCTCAGGGTGGGAAGAGGGATCACATCCTGCCTTCTGCTCTTTTTCCAAAAGTTTTTATGTTTCTTGGTTATTCCTTCATCCTGCTTTCCATTTTACCTTTAGAAATTGCTACCCCTTTTCTGCTTTGCTTTTTCTCAAAATGGAGAATGGTCACGTGATTTAGACTTTCCCAAGTCACTAACATAAGGCTATTCTGTGCAAATTTTTTGGCTAAACACCAAGGATAATGAAGGATGCTCAAGCCCAGAATAGAGCAGGTAAGAAATGACTAAAGGATGAGCCATGTTCCCAGGAGCTGGCTTCCACTGGCTGCCTTTGCCCATATTACCTGGCTGATCATCATGCTGTTGGTCCGGCCCTCTTTATTTATCCTTAAACCATCTTCTCCCACTGCTCTGGGGAATTTTCAAGATCTTCTGTCCATGGAACTGATAGAGACACTATTACTGTTTTTGAAACTGGTCCAATAGTCCTATAGACAGTTGGTTTCGGATAAACATAGAAATTTACCCTTCTGCTGTTAAAGCTTGAAACTTGGATTTGTTTTATCTGAGTTCCTTCCTCAGGAAAGGACTTTCAAGAAGTATTAAAGAACTGAAGCTCACCAGATCATTGTAACAGATGCCTCCTTGTCCCTCCCTAGTTCCTGTTTTCGTATACATTGTTACATTTCTTTCCTGCTATATAAGTCCCTAGGTTTAGTCAGTCAGGGAGATGGATTTGAGACTAAGCTCCCATTTCCTAGTCTGCAGCACCCGATTAAAGCCTTCTCCCTTGTCAACACTTGTCATCCAGGGATTGGCTTTATGTTTGGTATGCAGAGGGACCTAGATTGAACCCCTGGTATTTTGGTAACATCTTTTGTAAAGAACTACCTCCTAATTTCTATCTCTAACTTTGTTTTATTAAAGAGACATGCTTGTAAATTTTTGTAAACAAAAGAATAATTGTCTTTTTAGGAGAACATGTCTAAACTATAGCTAGCTTAAAATCCCAACACACTCAACACATACAGACTCATAAAGTGCAGAATACATCCCACTTATTCTTCATGTGATAGAAGTGGGTTTCAGTCATTCCCTTTCCAGCTTCAGTTTCTCATGTACTGATGAATATGACTGCAATAGTGCCAACAACTGCCCTGCAATCATGCTCCCTTCAACAACAAACTGAAATAGTATGTCAATTAAGCAATTATCTTTTGTTCCTGATTATCCCTCTGTGCTATACGTATTTTAAGGGCAATAAATAATGTTTTGCTGGTGGCTTATTCTAAAAAAAAAAGAAAAAGAAAGAAATGCTGTAGAATTCCTGGGCTTAGCTTGCTTGCTTGCTTGTTTGATTTGTTTTGTTTTGTTTTGTTTTGTTTTGTTTACAGGTCCTAACCTTTTCCAAGTTTTTATCAGAATATATCAGTTTTGTCATCTTCAGCCAATGCAAACCTGATAAACTAGACAGGATTACGTAAGCAATGTATGAACAATTTTAGACGGCCAGGAAATGAGTCACTAAGTGAGCTAAGGGTCTTTATGATTCCAGGGGTTGCCCTCAGGACACAGGTTTTTCTCTGCTGAGGCATTTATTATCTGTCTCATACTCCCTCTATTGCTTCCTCTTTAGGATTACGTCTCTGCCTCAGTTTCCCTCTGGCTCATCACCAAGACTGGGCTTTTTCCCTGAATGCTAGAATGAAGCCCATGGGTCGTGCTTAGCACTTTCCAGATTCTACTATCAGCATTCCACCAATCCTTATGCAAGGACTTTATATAAGGGAATTTATGCTCTTCTCCTTATTTACTCTCTTAGTTTGGATATATAACTGTTGACCCATTCTTTGTACTAGTTCTAACTTTCTACCTCGCATCCTCATTTTTTAAAATATTCTACTGCTCAGTACACTTTAGTTTGGATCATGAGAACTATTTTTTCACCCTGATTTGGGTTGTCTCTTTGCTGGTGCTTTCTGGACCTCTTCTGGAGTTTGATAAGTCCCCAATATCCACTCACCTTAGTGTTATTCTTTCCAGAATGGCTTTCTCCAGTCATGTGTCAGAATTGAACATCTGCTTCCTGAACTATCAAGATGCACTGAACTACTCATTTGACTCAAATGGAAAGTTATCAGAACAGCATGTCAACTCTCTTTCTAACTTCAAATATTATCTGGCACCTGGCCTTTTGTCACTGACCTGACTGACAATCAGTATTTTTCCTGGTTTTAACCTCTGCTGAAATCAGGCTTTTCACTGAATATTATGCTAATACTACGCTTATGATTATGGCCACAGTTATTGCGGATTATGGTGTTTATGGCAACTCAAATATTTCAGGCTTCTTTCTTCAGTGTACATAAGAGGAGCACACTTTTATTCTTTCTTTAAAGTTTAGTATGTGACTTACTTTACCCAACAAAACGAAGTGGAAGTGATGATCATTACTTCATAGAAGAGACTCAATTTGCATCATGCTCATGTTCCTACTGTAATGATAATGTAAACCCTTATAAAGAGAAGGGTACTGTTGGCTTGGATATCTGATTGACATGTAAACCAAAAATAAAATTCTTAATGCCCCCAACCATCTGAATGGACTCATCCTCTCAGCCAAGGGCATTCCAAAGTTAACCTGAAAAACAAGTTGAGGCTCTGATGGGAAGTGAGGGTCAGACATGCCTCATAATACCCTCCTCTATTTTGGTATTCCAGAAATTCTAACTGGCATTAACATCAACAGAGACCTGAAGTCTAATAAGAAACATTTAGTCTATTCTCTTTGACTCCTGCTACCTGAAGGCTTCATCTTCATGATAATACCTTGTCATAGCCCAGACGTTACTTTTTTTGATAATAACTCTTTCAACCAATTGCCAATCAGAAATATTTTAAATATACTTATGACCTTGAAACCTCACACTTCAAGTTGAGCTGCCCTTCCAGATCAAACCAATGTAAATCTTACATGTACTGACTGATGTATTATGTCTCCTTAAAATGTATAAAAACAAGCTGTACTCCCACCAACTTGGGCACATGTCATCAGGTCCTCCTGAGGCTGTGTCACAGGTGTGTCCTTAACCTTGGGAAAATGAAGTTTCTAAATTGATTTAGACCTGTCTCAGGTACTTTTGGATTCACAGACTACTGTTTGGGTCACAGCATAAGAAACAAAGGAACTTTTTTTTAAAAAAAAGTTAAGCACTGAAATGAGGTGTTTCCTATTGCTACAGCATAACCTTGCCTATCCTGATTAATACGTTGACTTTAAATAAATTACACTTTCTCTGTAAGCTACAGTTTATTAATTTGTTAAAGAAGGTAGTTGGACTAACTTATCACTTATGTTTCTTTTATCTCTGTGACATTCAGGGACTTTATATCTTGACTGACAGCATCCAGGCAAAATGTTGACCCATTGTTTATTCCCCTTGGAATCTTTCCACAAAACTTGGGAATGATTAAGATATGTGTCTAGATAACACCCAGTAGCAATAAAATGAGACAGCTGGCTAAATAATTATAAACTGTAATCAGGATGTGTAATCCAGATGCTCAAATATTATTGTCAAATGTCCAAATGAATGCCCATCACAATTTGTAAGCTGAGATTTTTCTTTCTCTTAAAATGATTTTTACTGACTGTCAAACTAATTTGTGGATGGCCCATAATGCAAGTGCCACATTGTTTTATTAGGGACAGTGAACATTGTGGGAAGTGTTTTTGAAACCAAGCATGCAGGATAGATAAATAATACAGCAAAGGAATATCAGATTCAGAAGAGCAATTTTTCAAGTGGGAGCACCTTATTAAAATCTAGTTTTTATAATATTTATAAAATGGTTGAATATGTTTTTTATACTTAATGTCTTCTTCCTTTTGGAACAAAGAATTATAACATGGAGAAAATCTATTTGAAGACTTCCCTGATTTAATTATTTTATAGTAGATTCCATGCAGAAATTTTGAACTCAGAATGACCAAGATGGAAATGCTGATTTTGCCATTGTTAGTAGTGTGACATAAACTTTGTCAGTCTTACATTCTTGAATTGTAAAATAAACATAATGTAAAGTATACTTCAAGATGGTTTATGAATAAAATTAAAGTATCATGTATAGTGACTAACATAGCATCAAACCCTCAATTGGAAACAGCTATTTCCATTGTCAGCAGTATTGTCATCATCGTTATCATCACCATCACCATCATCAATAGCATCTTTGTCCCCATAGAAAAGGCATATGTGCTTGCTTTTGATGACTTTACTGGGCACTGGTAACACATCCTATAATATCAGATTCTACTGACATCAAACAACCACAAGGTAAGATTCACTGCCCTTAATGCTGCACTCTGTCATTTTCAGCATGACTTCACCCACAGATATCACAGGGGCTTTCTCATAAAACCCAGCTTAGTGAGTTAATCAACCTTCAGGAGGTATTAGAGGACAGAATGGATGTACATTTCAAAGGAGCTTCATCCCTAAATCGTTCCAAATCGCATGTCTGAGCAATTTTCTTCTCTACTGCAGTTAAATTATTGGTCAAAATTTATTGAACACCTTTTACTTACTCTGGTTCTAAAATAATCCTTGTTAGCCCTCATCAATTTAACAAATGCATCCCTCTCTTTCTAAGGCTCTCTGTGAAAGGGGAGGAACTGCATTTCACCAGAGTTCTAAAGATTTAAGAATTTCAATGGTGGTACCTCCCAGAATTTAAAGGGTCTCACCCTTTGAAGGAAGAATCAGGAGTCATCAATGCTTATCATGGATAAATTTTAACTGGCTTCAACATGGTTTAATTATAATAATAGTTAATAATTATCGATTACTTAGTATGTGCCAAGTACTGCTAAGTGCTTTAGATAGATAAAATCATTATATTACATAACATAAATCATGACAGCCTCAAGAGTTATAGTGTAGTGTCATCTGCCTTGTTAAACTGTTGAAACCAGTACAGTAGTTTAAACAGCCTTCCCAAAGTCTTTTAGCTGGTAAATGGAGAGGAGAGTTGAGATTCAAACTTAGCTTTCTAATGCTATAGCTTATACTTTAATCTCTGTGTACACTTTGTCCCAAATATAGGAGATGGTTGCTGATGAAAGCAGAAGAAACAGACAGATTCAAATCCAAGTGGCTGGGCTCTATTATCAGACTTGAGCTTCAGATGAATGATACATATTATTATAATGCAATTTTTTCATCTTAAGAAATGTTGTGTTAGACACTAAAAACCTGATACATCTCTTAAATTTTGAGTCCAAGGAAACTCCCTGGGGGTTTTGGAGGAGATGTATACTTTACAGATGATTCATTAGCTCTAAGTTCTCAGTTGGATACTTATTTTCAAGTATCTTTTAGATTATTGTAGTATAAATTGCATGAAGTCAGGGATTTCTGTTTTGTTTGCTGGTATATCTCTATGCATAAAGTAGTTCTTTGAATGTAGTAGGAGTTCAATCAATATTAATGAACCTAATGAATGCATTATCTCTAGTTCTTGGGGACATCTTTCCCATTTGCAGCCTCTGCTAACTTCCCCACATGCTGGTTGCTGTCCTCCTGTGGTTTGTAAGATGTGACATGAGCTCATCTTCAGGGACTGCTAGGTGAGTTGGAGAACTGTCTGAGCCCTGAGTTGTGTAGCAACCCTTCAGACAGATCTGTGTTTATCTCTGATTTGGAGGGCTGAGAAAGTACATACTTCACTGATCTGGGAGCAGTTTTTAAATACTATCTTTTGATATTACAGTTTCCTTAATGTGCAGCATGAATTGATATCCCACAGACTCTCACAGGACAGCCCTGGGTTTGGTCACATCAAGCATGACTGTCAGCTTTCTTGCTACTTTCTTGGACCAGTGAGTAGAAGTTTTGTTGTCTCATTTTACATAAAGCCTGGACACTTGTGCTTTTGGTCGTTAGTAGACAGCTCTGCTAATGATCCTGGTGTGCTCAGGAGCCGTGGCCTGTACTCCTTGATCTTTCCTGATGTTAAACATCCATCCCTCAGGCTTAAAATTTTATATTTGGTTTTGATTTCCCTATAAGTTCCTTAGTTTTGTCATCTCCTTACCAAAGTGCTTACTCTTTATTCCTTTACTGGATTAATTTTACTATGTATATAAAAAATAAATTTTGGTTAGGCTTTCTCTAGCATTATATACGTTTTAGCTTAGAGAGAGAATTCCCGTGTTAGCTCAGTTCATTATGTTGAATGAACTCCTAAGCTGCACTTTGCATAATAGGAGCCTTGCTTGAGATCACAGTTTTAAAATTGCCAGTTTTCTTATTAGTTGCCACGGCAACCCAATTCTGATCTCTTGATGGTTGGGGCCGTCATGTCCGTGGAGCCCAGCATTTTCATCAGCATATCATAGGACACAGGAAACATTTGAAATTTGGTAAATGAGCATTTACCCAGTCATTTTCATTCATTCTTCATGATTTCTTGGCCCCTATTTCCTATCTCTATTGCAACCCACTGCCATTTCCCAAACCCTAACAGACTCAGGAATATGTCCCGAAGCCTTGTGTATTTTTATTCAAATGTTCTGCTTCCCCAAACTAACTTTCAAAATATCGTCTCCTGTTGTGCCATCCGTGTACTCTCCTTAACTCTTCCTGACCTACAATTTTTGTTTGTTTCTACAATTACCCATGGTTTGAAAGATCTACTATTTGTGGTGCTGTATTTTGGGGCATTGCTAGTCAGGACCTGGTACTCTCTTGATGAATTGAGGCAAACTAGATTCTGAAGCAGAACAAGAACTTCTATGTTGTCTTGGATATTAAGGGTCAATGGCAAAAGGTGAGTCCAGACAGCAGGTGAGTCATGGACAATAGTCCATGAACCATGCTTAGGACAGAAACTCTAAAAGTAAGAGCACTGGGGATATGGGGACTCAAACACAGAGAAGGAGACTAAAGTCTAGTTATTAGAACCATAGTATACAGTTAAGGTTCATGTAACAGAAAATGAGTTGACAACTGAGTTAACTAAAGTTTTTTTTGTTTGTTTGTTTTTTAACCCCTTTCTGCCTAAAGCAGGATATGTGCACATATGATAAATGGAAAGGTATATACAAAATATACAAAGTGCATATTTGTATGCATGAGTGTGTCCACACATGTGCTTTTTTTTTTCTTTTGAGATTTTTATGGCTAAGCTTTCAGGCAGTGATAGATCACATCGGCCTCCATAGTGGGAGAAGGAAGTAAAGCCTGGGAATAGGTCAGACGGGTCCCACTATGTGCAATGGAGAATTCAGCAAGGCAAACACACGATTCCTTCTTTCTTACTTCCAATCAGAGGTAGCTAGAACCACTTGGGTGCGACTGGAAAAGGCCCCAGCTGGAAACAAGGAAGAATTGCCTTTATATGTGGATTGAAAAGAAGAAATTGAGGGTATTTTTACCCTCCCTGGCTGCCTGCTTTTTCCAGGGACACCTTATTAGGTTGTTACAGTCTCAGCAGATAAATCTGAGAATCCATTTTTATTTATATATGTTTGCTCGGCATTTCCTGTGATAGACTTCAGTTGTAAAAAGAGTTATAAATGCCGTTTCTGCAGGCTGTTTTTACTGCACTGTATCTGTGTTATTTCAGAAGGGCCCACGGAGACCTGATTCCAAAAGGTCTTGTTGTTAGATAGAGGTCTGCACCTTGTTAGCTGCAGCCCAGAGAATTCTCGATTGACATTCTGGAGCTGTTCCAATTACCCAGAGTGGTCAGGGGAGGCAACACGCTGAGGCTGTAGCCCTACTTGTGCACTCGTACACACCCAGGCTATGGAGTTCATATTCATTCATTCATTCAACATGAAGATGAATCTGAATCTAAATCTACATATACTGCCTACCTATCTATTATCTATCTAGCTATCTGTCATATCCTCTATTACGATCCAAACTGCTTTAAGCATGTGGGATATAATATAGAACAAAAAACAGAACACAACAAAAGTCTCTGCCTTTGTGGAGCTGACATTGTTATGAGAGTTGGGGAAAGATGTAATAAACTATGATATCACTTGCTCAATACATAATATAATTTCAGAAAGAGGTTACTGTGATGAAGAGAAATAAAGCAGTGCAGTGATGGCTTGAAGAATGACAAAGGTAGAAAAGGTTTTTGGAGGGCAGGAGGCTATTTCAGCAATGGTGACCAGAACAAGCTTCTCTGAGGATATAAAGTTTCCCTGGAAATTTGTGGACTTGAGAGAGCAAGCCATGCAAACACATCTTCAAAGCAGAAGGGAGAACAAGTAGAATGATCTGGGGTGGGAACATGCTTGACATTTTAAAATCAAAACAAGATAGCTGTGGTGGTTAGAGTGCAGTGACCAAGGGGCAGCTAGTAGGGGGTGCGTAGGAAGATGCAAGATGATGTAAAGTGATATAAGACGTTGGGATAAGTTTTAAGGAATTTCAGTTTTATTCTGAAGATAAATGTTTAGAGCAATAAAACGACATGAATAGATTTATAATTTTAAAGAAAATTATAAAATTTGAATAAGACTATAGAGAGGAAAAATAATATCAGTGAACCAATTCAGAGGCTAAGACAGTGATGCAGGTGAGAGTTGATGGTGGCTTGGGCCGGGGTAGCAGCAATGGCAGTGATGAGTAGGTATTTCTTACTGGGTGTTTTGAAGGCATACATGAAAGCCTTATCAGATTGCATGAGGGGTGTAAACAAATAGAGGATTCAAGGATAATTCTTAGTGGTGTGTGTGTGTGTGTGTGTGTGCGTGTGTTTGGCCTGAATGCCTGGTTGAAAGGTTACCATACATAGAGGTGGAAATATTGGAGATAAGTAAATTAGGGAGAAAAGCTGACAATCAGCTGTGTACATATGGTATTTAAAGACACATGATTCAGTAGGATCATCTAGGGCGTGAATGTGAAACGAGAGAAGAAAAAGCTCGAAGTTGATCTCTGTAACAGATCTCCCACATTTAGAGGTTGGAAAGGGAGAAAAGATCCAGAAAAGGAGACCGAGAAAGAGTATCCTGAGATAAACAACCAACCAGGGAGTTTGCTGTTCCGAAATTCAAGTGCCCAACGTGTTTCAAGGAGCAGAGTAATAAGCTGTGTTAAAATCTGTTGTTGGGTCAAGCTAAAAGTGACACTCAGTCACTTGATCTGACTACCTGGAAGTCCTCAGTAACGTTGAAACGCCTCTGTCTGTGAAATACTGGTGATGAAAACCTGAACGGAGAAGGTCAGGTGAGAGAAGGAGATAAGAACGTAGAAACAACCCAGCAGCTCTTTCACAATGTCTGCTATAAATTCAGAGTAGAAAATAGGATGGAACTTCAGTTTTTGAGTCCCTTCATTCTATAGACCAATTTAGTCTAACATTAGAGAATCTTTCTCCTCTTCCTCCTTTTTCTACTTGCCCTCCTCTTCCTCCTCCTGTTCCTCTTTCTTCTTCTTTCTGTGGAAATTTAAGGTTAAATTCTTAGCCCAAGGTCATAGGATGGGTAACCGGTACAACAAAGTGCAAAGCCAGATTATCAAATTCTGTTTTGTTTCCACTACAACAACCCAGGAAACCTACATTTTCCTTATAGGAATATACTTACAGGAAGACAGACCAAGGATGATATCCTTTCCACTTATCACTTCATATTTTCTCCATTTTCCTATTCATCCTCATATCTCGTTTACCCAGAGGCTTAATGCCCACCTACGGACTGATTGACCTGAAGTGATGAAGCAGGTTCGGGTGAATACTTTTGAATTTAAAAAATCCTGTTAATATAATTCTGTTAGTTTCCTCACCTTTCTTCCATCTCTCCCTGTCCTCCCCTGCCTCTCATATAGTGTAGCAATTTGTCTGAAAACCTTTTCTCCTTAATCTTCCACTTTGTGTTTCGGAACTGGCACCCACAGAGTTAGCAGGTAAAAGCTTAGCCTTTTGGGAGCCATGGATCCCTAAATACGGTGCTCATTGGCAAACTATACCATGATGGTTCCGCACAGCACACCACGCCAGCAACCCAGGGATCAACTACTCCCCAAACAGCAGTATCATCTGATGTGATGAATCATTATAGTTTCATTACAGCCTTTTGAGTCAATGATGTGGGAAGAATGGGTTATCATTTTTAGCCCTTCGGGAAAAGAGCTATTTTGCTTCCCCAATGGCATCTCCTTCCATTTCATCCATGTCCACTATTTTTGACTTTCTCCCTCAGGCCCTAGTACCTGTACTGTGCTATAACCCCCATGAAGCCACATGTGTTTGATTATTTATTAGTGACATTGCTATTGGCTTAGCATCTTCCAGTACATTTTGCTGTGAGGAAAAGAGCACTAAGCTGAAAAACCAGAATAGATGTCAATCAATGGGAGTCTAGTAAAGAAATTTATTTGTAATTTTAGAACAGTGAGTATTTCATGTTGATTGATGGGTTGGTTGGTTGATAGATATAGACATAGATAAGATAGGCACAAAAACACACATATATACATATGCACAAACACATATACATATATGTATTATCTATCTATCTATCTATCTATCTATCTATCATCTATCTACCTACCTGCAATTTGCATCTTCAGAATCTTAGTAGAGTGATGCTTGACTACTAGGAGAATGCATTCAGTCTGATGCTTCTTTATCTGAAAGTTTTAATCATATTATTGGCCCTGCCTACTCCACAGTGTTAGTGTGAGACTTGACAAAGTCATTTGAGAATACTATATATAGAAGTCCATGTGTGTACATCATCAGTTTATTCATTTGAACTATAGAGATTGGATAGAAATTTCTTCAACAGACATTTCTGATAATTTATTATCTGCCTGGAAATATGCAGGGCTCTACAGACAAGGAATCACATGCTCAAGGCTCTTGAAGTCTAAGTGGCCGGTATAAGATTTCTTCTATTGGGCATGGAGTTAATTTTGGTTAATCTCCAGATCAAGAGTAAATTCAACTGAAAGACCCAGAGATTCTAGTGACAGTCTTTTACTTGCAATTAAAAAGATATTTGGTAGTTTGGGGCAGTCTTTGAAGTACAGCTGGGTTCATATTTGTATCTCATCAGATAAATATTCCTTTAAGTTTCTTCTATTAGGAGTAAAAATAGCAACTCTTTACAACTGTAGAGTGCTTTAATCTAGTGCTTTTACATAATTAGTTTGTCTGATGTTCATGATGATCCTGAAATCTTGTTATCCTACTTTTACATATGAGGAAGTGATCTCAGAATCAGGAAGAATCTTGCACAAGGAGGTTAAGTTGATAGTGAAGTTGGAACTGGGTCTGGGGGGTCCTATGCTATCCTGGACATTAATCTTGTACCTACTAGACCCTAGAGTAGCCAGAGGGTCCTGGGAAGTTGGGTGACTGGGTGAGAAGGGACACTCAGGGGGCTTGAGAAAGTGGCTATTTACTAAACATAACTGAATTATTTTAATAGTTTAACAAATTATATATCCATACCAGAGAGAACTGACTTATCTCTTTCTAAGTCAATTATTAAAAATTCAAAAATCTCAAGAGTAAAAACAGATAATAAATGCATCTCCATGTGTATTTTATCACAATCTTAATACATTTCTAGGATTAAGCAAATTTTGGAAACAGTAGCGTTGATTCAGTGTGGATTCTGGGATTAGATTGCCTGTATAAATTCCACTAAGGTAACCTAAGGAAAATCATTTAACCTTGTTAGTTCTGATTTTATTCATTTGTGAATTTGGAATAATTAAAGTGACTATGTCACAGGGTTCAAAAAATCAAAGTTAACCAATCTGTGTAAAATTCTAAGCACAGTCACTACTGGATCCCTGTGAACAGCCAGTAAATGTTGGCTATAAAAATATAATGTTAGCTGTATAAGTGACTGTCTCCTAATGCAGCTTTCATTCATGGAGTGTCTTTGAAGCTACATTTCTCATGTGAAGATGACTCACTGTCCTTTAGTTATTGGGACATGCTACGTGAATTGTTCACCAATGGTAAAAAGTAAGAATTTGGAGTAGCTGTTGTTAAGCTAGTTGGAGAATCTGGAAAGAAGATTTATTATTGTCCTCCCACTCTCAGAAAAGTACATATGAGCCAGCAAATAAAGTCCTTTATATAATTTTGAGAGTTTCACAACTTCCTGAGTCTGATTTATTAGATCTGAAGGATATTTTAGCTGCCAACTCATCTCCCATACAATTCTAAAGATGAGAAATGTAAAAGCTAAGACTATTGGGACATGTCTCAGTTTGGGATCTGTGGTCAGTGGAATAGTGGTTTCTCCAACAATGTCCATGTTCTAGTGTTCTTGGAACCTGTGAGTATGTTATCTTGTCTGGCGAAAGGGATATTGCAAATGTGATTGAGTTAAGAACCTTGAGGTGGGAGATTATCCTGGGGAGTGTGTCTTTATGGCTACAGTAGTTTTCCTTCTGTGTTGTTGGAATCCATCTTCCATAATCATTTAGAAGCCACTCTCCTAGGGTCTCAACCCCTAATCCACCTGTCAGAGAAGAAACTTTGAAGAGGGGGATTAATGGGATAAACTACAACCACACCCCTCCATGCAGTCTCGGGCCTCAGTAGATAGTTTTTGTCATTCCCTTCCATCAATTCTAGCCTCCTCTCTCAGATACCACCTTTGCTGACCTACATAGGTAGTAGCATGATCCATATTGTCATCACTAAGGAGTCTAAGCCCCTGGTCCTCATGTCCTTTGTAGAGTGAGGTTTCTATCCCTATCTGTCACTGTACAGTCATTGTACAGTCAACTGTTCAGGATATTACAAAGAAACACCGAAGTAGATTGCCTTCATTCTACACATATTCTTTTTTACCCCATCTCATGTAATGGCAGCCCTAACTCCTTCTGATAACCAGAGTCAATTATTGCTGCTAAATGGTGACTCCTCTACTTGCCCACACATCCTTGGGAAAAGGCATGAAGTAACCAGGTGACAGTCACAGCTTTTAATTCAGTGTGACTCAAGAGGGGAACTTGGTGAGGGTATGCTCTCTTTCAGATCCAGGACCTCTAACTCAATAGTCTGGGATTGCAGGAAGGAGAAGCACAGATTTCCCCAGGGGTCACTGGAGGTCATGGTAAGTGAGGCCACACCTACTTCCATCACTTGGTTCCTGAACCCGTGTATCCTTCCTACTGAATACACAGCACAATATATAGGCCTCTGATGCATCCTGGATGATTGCATTCCATCTTCACAGAGCATAACCTCTGAGCTGATGTCTTGACTGTGTCTTCAGCAAGCTGTTCCAGAAATGCATCAGGCCAGCAGCTTCCTGCTAATGTATTATGTAATATCAAACTGGATCTATTGATCATCACTTCATTCCTAAACCTCTGTTGAAATGTTGGTTCTCTTGCTCTGACTTTACAAGAAATCCCATGCTAGTGGATTGAACACTCAAAAGAACCTTGGATTATGATACTGTCTGAGCCCTATTGGCAGGAAAGACAAATCCATAAGCAGAATACATTTCTATTTCTTTGTGAATGAACCACTGGGTCTTTCTAGGATGGACCAATAAACTGAAATTGACATCAAGTAATTTAGTTTTTATGAGGAATGGTGACACATGGGGGGCTCACCCTTGCTCTCTGTTGTAGGTTGGACGTTTGGCATTGGAGGTAGCTATATCAGTCTTGGGAATGGAAAATCTATGCTATTGGGGCAATGCATAGCTTCCATTTGTGCCACTTTGGATATTTATTGTATTGGGCTATCCTAGAAAGACCAGTGGTTAATTCACTGGCAAGATTACTGACTGAGGCTGGCTGTTGCCAACTGTCCAAATTATTTTTTCTACCTACTTAGTACCCTTACTATGGTGGATGTTTTCTGGTAGATATTAAGATACAATACAATGATTTCCGTAGTTTATGAAGACTCTATATATCTCTTATATATATTTGCCATAACTTTTTGTCTCCCATCTTGCAATTGTTTCCATCCAAGCCCTTGACGAGGTTCCCAAGTCATTCACCAATGCTGATAAATCCATAATTTTCCAATCTTGGACCACTTCTTATTACAATCAAAGTGAATGTCATGGTGTAACGCCTAAAGATATACCCATTGGGGAGACTTTTCATTATCACTGTTTTACAAGACCACCTCTGAGTGAGGCTGTAATACAGCCAGGTTCCATTTTTGGCTTATAGCCACATACTGAGCTGTACATCTGTTAACCAAGCTCAAGTTTTTCCTTTCTCCATTCACAGGTCACTTAGGTACATTCTGATTCCTTGTTCCCTCCTTTTTGTAAAATCATCCCAGCAGGTTTGTATCAATTTTATTAATCCTTTCAAATTAACCAAGTTAGAACCATTGACTTTTTTTCTGTTTTTATCTAATTTTTATTTTATTAACTTTCACTCATTTCTATTCTTATGATCTATTTTGTTTTTAATTTGCTTGTGTATATACCTTAGGTTATTATCTTAGATCACTACCTTTAACTTTTCTTCTTTTCTACTGTAGGCATTCAAAGCTATAAATACTCCTTACAAATACTTAGTTAGCAAAATCCTACAAGTTATGATATTGTTACTATTAGTACCTTAAGTGGTCTATCATTTATTAAAATAGGGTTGTTAATTAATATAGTCATACCATCTATTTCACTCTTAATATTTTTAATGTATTTTTCCATTTTTAAAATTATCAACCTGTCTTTATGTTTAACAATTAGTTTTTGTTAACAACCTGTTACTGAGCCTTACTTTGTATCTAATTTTACAACTTCTGTCTTTTAATTGGAGTATTTTAGTTTCTTTAATTTTTCATATAAATATTGATGTGTTTAGGCTTAATTCCACAATAATGCTACTTGCTTTATATTTATCCCCTTTGTGCTTGTTTCTTTGCTTCTCCATTACTTTCTTCTGTTTTTGAATTGTTTGTTAATATTCCATCTTATTTCATTGATTTATTAGTTATTCCTTTTATGTTTTGTAATATTTGCTCTAGATGTTACAACATGTGTGTTTAACTTATAATATTTCTTCAAGTAAAATTATACTACCTAATGAAAAATGAAAGTTAATATACTAGTACACTTCTATTTTACTTCTTCCACTCAGTCAGAACAAAGGTGAGACATGTGAGAGAACTAGTTTATAAACATGACCCTGAGGATGAGAGTTTCCTAAAATTGTGTACTCCAGGCACCCGGCCCACCTCATCCTAGATTCTACTCTCCTCTCTATTCCCACCGTGTGTGCCATTATTGTCAAATATTTTATTTCTACATATACTATGGACTCACAATAATTGTTTTTCTTGCAAGATTTAATAGTCAATCTCCAAAGGAATTTTATAACTGTGTGTGTGTGCACATGTGTGCACACACGTGTGTTTGTGTGTATAATAAAAATGTATATTGATCCTTTTGTTTTTTTTTTTTTTTACTTCTTCCTATTGATCTGGCTTTCTTATGTCATTGTTTTTCTGTATAACAAATAATTTCCTTTTATCATTATTATATTTTAGATAAACTATAGCCACATTTTCTCACATTCTATGTAACTGAAAATGTATTTATTTTGCATTCCTTTTTAAGGAATAATTTTTGTGTATACATCATTCTAGGTTGATTTTTTTTCTTTCAACACTTTAAAGATGTTGTAGTTTGATTATTTTATATTATGATTCAGTTTGTATTAATTTTGCTTGTGATTTGCTTCCCTTCTTGATTCTGAAATTTTATGTCTTCCAAAAATTTTGGAAAGGTGTTGGAAACTTCTTGGTTTTCTCTCTTCTCTTCTTCAGGTACTCCAATTACATGACTTATATTATTAGAATTGTTCCAAAGTCCTGGGTGCTGGAGCTGTTTTTATTCCATCTTTTATCTGTCTTTGTACTTTAGGTTGGGTAATGCCTACTAGCCTGACTTCAAGTTCAGTGACTCTTTCCTCTGCTGTGTCCAAAATGCTTTGAAATCTAAGAAATGACATTTAAAAAAATTTCTAACAGTTCATTTTCTCTTTTTATTAGTTTAATCTCTCTTTTGAAATTCTCTTTTGAAATTTCTCTGCTCACACATGCCAACTTTTCTCATTAGATTTTTAAAAACATTTTTTACACTTATTTTAAAGTCACAAGGTGGTAATTCCAACTTCATGGCCAACATGGGGCCTGCTTCAATTGACTAATTTATCTCTTGGCCATGAGTTGCTGTTTCCTACCTTTTTCATACGTTCTTGTTTTTAAATCAAGTGCCAGATATCCTGTGTAAGATATAGTCGAGAGGGAAGTAGATAATATTTACCTTGTTAAAAAGGGAATTTCCCTACTTTCATCAGACCACTACTAAGGTGATTTGAGTTAAACTCTTCTGTAATTGAACTGAGTCAGGCTACTGTGTGGAAAGTGGTTTAAGGATTGCAGAGTCATAGGGTGGCAGCAGACAGGCCATAGGGAAGACTTTACTATTCTCCCAAAGAAAGAGAATGGTGGCTAAAACTAGGGTGTTAGAAGTATACAGGAAAGAGTTCAAATTTGTGATTAATTTCAGACTTGGATGAGTGTGAGGCAGAAATGAGAGGACATGATAAATGAAATCTGCCATGCTTTGGGATAAAATAGATGTGCAGAGTGAGGAGGATGGAAAGATTGAGGAAGAATAACCACAGGCTTCACCAGCTCGCTCTGCCTTTTCAGGGCAGTTCACACATCTCATGTCTTGTACAGGATTAAACACAAGAGTTGGCACATACAGGTAGTAGGTGTACAACAAATGCTTACAGGATAGCACAAATTCAGCCTAATTTGACATGTCTTTCAAAGTCTGTCCTGATATCCCCTGAGCTCTCTTTGGCTGGCCACAGCAGTAAACTGCTGTAAATAAAATATGTAAAATTATTTCAGAGGGCAGCAGAGACAATCAAGGTCCTGATTTTAATATCCTGTCAAGGAAACTGCCCCCAAGTAAAATTCTATGGCTTGCTTTACTTAATTCTGTGAGAAGAAAAGCTTTGCTGACCTTGATGAATCCTCACTTGTAGTTCTGAGACATCTAAATATTTCAAGCTCCTGGTGCACACCATAATCCTGCCCAGTAAGTAGCAAATAGGTCTCAGTATTTTCTTTGTTCAAACTGCATTATACATTTCTGGACTCACAGATCACAACTCCACAATCACTTATTACCTATGCATGACAGGCAGGGAGATTAGCACGGAAAGGAACTGACAAAAATGCTTTCAGAGAGAGAAATTCATTCTCAGCAAGACAGAGGATATCCAGGCAGTGATTTTCAGTGTCCAAAGATGAGAGAGGCAGGTGAAAACTGGACTGGGTGGGCAGGGTCTGGTATTATTGAGCTGCTTTAAAGTAAGCCCTTACATTCTCCCAACTACCAGCATATTAGTCTGTTTTCACTCTGCTATGAAGAACTGCCTGAGACTGGGTAATTTATAAAGGAAAGAGGTTTAATTGACTCACAGTTCAGCATGGCTGGAGAGGCCTCAGGAAACTCATAATCATGGTGGAAGGAGAGGGAGAAGCAAGGCACCTTCTTCACAAGGCGGCAGGAAGGAGAAGTGCCAAGTGAAGGGGGAAGAGCCCCTTATAAAACCACAGATCTCATGAGAACAAACTCAGACCCACCAGAACAGCATGAGAGTAACTGTCCCCATGATTCAGTTACCTCCACGTGGTCTCTCCTTTGACATGTGGGGATTATGAGGATTATGGGGATTACAACTCAAGATGAGATTTTGGTGGGGATACAAAGTGTAACTATATCAACTGGATTTTTTCTTGGGTTTTTGCCTGACTACTGGCTCCTTTTGGGGATGGCTGTCTGTGAATTTCTCAGAGCACACACTATTTTATCTGCATCTTTGTTTCCAAGTATTATAACGTTACCTAGGGAGGTGTTGTTATTGGGCTCAGGGCGTAACCCTTTTATGATCAGCAAAGGGACACTAAAAGAACTGCCGTCTCTCTTACAAATAAAACCAGAATCCTCAAAGTTGTCCCTGAAAGATTTCATGATTTGAGGGATGCAGCTTCTTACTACCTCCACCTCCTCACTGCCTTTGGCATGTGGTGGGAGATGGGGTTAGGGTTGTTGTTCTTTGATGCTCTGGACGAAGGATGGTCGTCAGTATATTCTATATAATCATTTACACAGTGGAAACCAGGCTGAAACATTAAATTAGAGATGGTGAAGCCTCTGTGTTAACCAAAAAACCAATGCATCAAGTCATACACAATTCCACAATGTGTTTTCAAGTTATGGCTTGCTTTCTAGGGCTTATGGGATAGACTTTTCTGGACATTCGTAGACTCTCTCTTATGTGTTAGGTGACATCTTAACACCTTCTTCCCAGAATCTAGATATTTAAAGTCCTGATAGTCTCAACCTACAAAGAGAGGAGCAGGTTCTCTCTTCACCATCTGCTGAAGGATTTCCTTCTGAGACCAGTGTTGCTTCCTACAATTCTGCCCTTATTTGTGAAAACAACACATACTGTTCACCCAAATTAGGTTCTATCAACATAAATATATCCAGAAACACACAGTTCAAATTCCAGATTTATCCTAGAGATACCACAGATGCTGCTAGGATGGAGACTGGCAAATATGCATGCCTGTTAGAGTGGAGCCCAGAACTCAAAGAATAGCTCTCATTAATGTAATTCAACTTATTCATAACAACTCCCTACAGTAAACTAACATTGACTGTCTTCTAATAAGGGTGTCAGTGTCCATAAAGAACACACAGAAGACCACAAAGAACACACAGTCCAACAATATTTATGAGTTGCTGAAGCAAGGGATACCACACGCCATGTAATACGGTTTGGCTATGACCCCACCCAAATTTCATCTTGAGTTGTAGCTCCCACAATTCCCACATGTCCTGAGAGGGGCCCAGTGGGAGGTAATTGAATCATGGGGGCGGTTTCCCCCCATACTGTTCTTGTGGTAGTGAATAAGTCTCACGAGATCTGATGGTTTTATAAGAGGAAACACCTTTCACTTGATTCTCTCATTTCTCTCTTCCCTGCCACCAGGTAAGATGTGACTTGCTCCTCCTTGCCTTCTGCCATGATTGTGAGGCCTCCCCAGTCATGTGGAACTGTGAGTCCATTAAACCTCTTCCATTTATAATTACCCAGTTTCAGGTATGTCTTTATTAGCAGCATGAGAATGGACTAATACACCATGGAGAACTATGGGGACTCCCACTAGGATGATGTTGAGAGGAGCTTGCTATAGAATTTGGGCTTATGTTAGTTGATTTTGGGGACAGTTCATGGAAGTGGGAGTTTGCTCTGTTGTGGGTTGTTGTCAGGAATTGGGGTAATACTATGATTGGATAGCAATAATTTTGCTATCCTCCTGCTTCATGATTAATTCCTCCTGCTTCTTGGTTGCAAGATAAATTACTGAAACATCTGGTATTAAAAAAAATGGCTGTGCAATTGCATTTAAGACTCTGATCAGTAGACATTGACCAACTGTAGCACAAACAATTACCGGAAACAAAATTGTTCTTCGTCTTTGTAGTAGTTCCTGAGGCCAGGAGGCTAGATGTTCAAACCCAAACCAAAAAACAAACAAACAAACAAACAAAAAAATATCTCGAAGTCCAGCTGCGTCTGTTCTGGAAAGTCAGATGAATTTTTCTTTTATCCTAACCCCAGTCTGTTCTATTCAACTTGTTTTATTTATATATAGGCACGGCAAGATGTGCTTCTAGTAAAACTCCTTGTCTAGCTGAAAGAACATTAAAGGCTATGTAATTACCCATCACAACGTTTGGTTGTCAGGCCTTTGAGAAAGTTGTGTCATGTGATTTTTGCTAGGGTCATACATTACTTTTGAATCCTTTTTTTTTTTTCTAATAGCATTATGCCTACCAGGAGAACTGGAACCCAAGGTGAACCCTTCTTGGACGATGATGTGGCTACTAAGAGAACCATTTATATCTGCCATATCAACATGAATGATCTTATTCAAGAAATCTACTCGCAGTTCCAGAAATTTCACTCTGTGCTCTCATAAACACTTTTCCTTTATAAATTACACTTATCACTGAGTACAGGCTACAGGACAGGTACATCTGTATAAAGATAGGAAATATAAATTGCTACCTAACTGAAAACCTTCTGCCACCTGTTTGGAGACAAAAAAGCAGAAAGCAATGTATTTTATTTTTAAAGAAAAGAAAGAGATCAGGCTCTGAACACCTACTCTGTGCTACCCACTAAGATACTTTGCACTCATCTATTTTTATTCTCCAAACTACTTCATGAGGTGAGGTTCAAATGCTCAATATGCTGTGAAAAGTGGGTAAAGTGGTCTCTGCCCTTTGTGTCTGCTAAGTAAATTATGCTTTCTTCATTGGGAAACACTCATAATACCCTTTGAGAAACCCACCTTCCCTATGTCCATAGGATCTTTATGGAGTTAATCTCCACTCTTTACTTGCAGGGTTGGGAATTTGCCCCAAATCTGGTCAATCAGAGTGGTTAGTTTGATGTGGCACATCAAACCCAAGTTTGTCTAATTAGCATGAGTCCAAGAAATGTTTTTGGAACATTTCTAGGCAATAGGGACAATGCAAGTATAGAGATACCAGAGACCATCATCTGAGAAGTCCTGCTGGAGATAAACAAAGAAAACAGAAAAACAAAAGAATGATGAGAGCATGATGGTGACAGTGTGAAACAGAGTCCTCAGGACATACGTGAATATGAATACAGCTGTGCTTAAAGCCTGTTTTCACTTAACTTCTTAGTTATGCAATCTAGGAAAATATTTATTTGCTTTCCCCTTAGCAATTTGGGTTGCATTTTTCTCTTGGGCAGGTGGAAGGGGAGAGGCTCATCAAGACAAAATTTCTTGCCTAAAAGCAAAGTTAGAATTAGGACAACTGGAGTTTCCCTGAGTCATTTTGAGTCAGAGACCCATTCTCTGCCAGAAGACACAGTAAAGGAGAGTGAGAGTGAGTGCTCTGAAAACTCAGGGAGACAAAAGCTTCATGAGGAAGATATGAACGATTAGTAAAGCTTTGATAAACCATGTTCAGTAGAATGTCCTTCAGTATTTTTCATTGTGATATCTCGTCCTTGATAATCACAAGTAAATTTGTCTTTCTTTGTGGCAGGAACACTATTCTAGGGACGAATACAGAATTATCCACAGCCCTGGAGGCGATTCACATCACTCACGCTTTTTGTAACCACTGGATTTTGAGACAGTAAAGTCCATTCAAAAGCAATTTGTTTTAATTTTTGAATTATTCCAAGGCAGGAGCAACAACTTTCATCACAGACCCACTAGCTCCCCAATAATTGTGTCTCATTTTACTTTATATCTGCAATATTTAGCATAGTGCCTGACATACAAAATATTCTCAATAAGTGTTTGTTAAATGATTGAGTGGATTAATTATTTCTACCAGTGGCATAACAACCAAACACCTGATTCTTATCTGCCTGCTATCAATTTCCCCAGAGTTCAAATAGTGCCAGCTCTTCTCATTGATAAATGGACTCATTGTTCCTTCCATTGTGGATCATACAACACCTGTCTTCTAGGAAAGGAAAGTCCATTTCTCTAAGAGCCTAAGTTTCCATTACCCTCACAAGAGCAAAGGTAGGTCTCTCCCCTAAAAGGCTGTGAATAACAATATGCTCTCCCTTCATGATGCAAACAGGGCAGCAGACTTAAAATATAAATAATGACCTGAAAGCAAGGTAATTTGGAACTATTTCATAACTGATGAGCCATTATTCCTCCCTATCATCAATGCATCTAAAACAGGCTCTCCTATCACCTTGTTCAACCTCTATCATAAAATTAATTACCTCTGGATAGACCCCATTTAATTGCTCATAAAATTGATCTTACTTTTCAGATTTTATGGTAACTAGTATGTCATCAACAAAAGTGCCTAGAATAAATGGGATGCTTATTATACACCTTGAAATAAAATAAAACAAATCCATGATAGATGTAGGAGGCTTTGACATGTGTGTCTCTAGTACTGTAACAGACACTTGTAGACAAGTACACAATACCCCCAAAGATCTTTTCCTGGGTAGATTATTTATTTTAAAAAAATAATAAAAAGGTACTTTGATTCAGTTAGAACACTAAATGCATTTCATTTCAATAAGTATAAGGACTATTATTATTGTTCATGCATTTGTTCATTGTTTTATTCAATCTAGAGGCAGTTTGGGTATGGAAAGAACTTGTGATTTGGAGTTAGAAGAACTTGAATTCTAACCTTGTCTCTTGTATGTAATAACCACTATCCTTGGAAAATCACCTTTTCTAAACTTATCCTCAGTAAATTAATTATAATAATATTTATTTCTTTCAATATTTTTGTAGTTTTTGACATGGAGTCTCACTCTGTCACCCAGGCTGCAGTGCAGTGGCATGATCTCTGTTCACTGCAACCTCTGCCTCTCGGGTTCAAGCAATTCCCCTGACTCAACCTCCCAAGTAGCTGGGACTACAGGTGCATGCCACCATGCCAGTCTAAGTGTTTTTGTATTTTTACTAGAGACAGGGTTTCACTATGTTGGCCAGGTTGGTCTTGAACTCCTGACCTCAAGTGATCAGCCTGCCTCGACCTGCTGGGATTACAGCCATGAGCCACTATGTCCAGCCAATAATATTTATTTCATGGAGTGTTGTTAAGTTTAAATAAGATGATGAATACAAAACACCTAATAAAGGTCCTGGTCCAAAAAAAGACATTTAATCAATGTTAGATGCTATTACGTTACTATCACTGCTATTAATAAACCAACAAGAAAACCCACATGTCATTGAAGTGAGATAGCTTGAGCTTGATAGAAAGATGATAGGTTTTAATAGATCAGTGTTTGGATTCCAACTATGATTTAGAATCTGTATATCCTTAGGTGAGTTACTGAATCTCTCTCATGCTCCATATTCTCATATATGTGTGTTTATATATGTAGGTTTAACACTTACAGAATCAGATGAAATGGTAGATGAGAGGGAGCTCAAAGCCATGCTCGCTGTAGGGACCCCACATATATGGAAACCCTGGCTTCAGCCTCCACACTTCTCATCCTATTTCACTTTGGAGTGGTAGGGATGAGGCCTCTGAAATGCATCTGTTGTTTACTTCAATTGGCTGAAGAGCTGGACAGAGGGGCAGGATTCTGATCAGAAGAAAAAGATCATTATTGCCTACATCTGGTGGAGCTCAGGAGTTGGATAATTCTACTACATTCTCAGGTGATGATTGCCCCAGAAGACAGGCCTGGCCAAGCATCCAGTCCTAGGACTGGATGGGTGTGTCCAGGGCACACATTCTCTATCCTTTACTATCAAACCTTATGCCTCACTACTCAACTCCTCAAACCACATTTTTCAGTTGAAGAAAATTATTTTTCTTCCTCTAAGATTCGTCTCTCTCTTAGCGCCTGACTTTAGCCCTCGTAGTTCCCTCTGCCTGCAGCACTTGGATTCAGCTTCTGCTTGTTTCACTTAGACATTGCTATTCACTCTCATAATCTAGAGGACACGCCATGTCCTCTTCAGAGTCTTCTCTTAACCTCCAAGTCTAGGTTAGATGCTCTTTGTAATCAGCATGCGATTTCCCTTCCATGATGCTTACTACACTGCCCTATGAGCCCTGGCTTGTCCAGCTATAATTTACAAACTTAACCCCTGTGAACTTACCTGTCTGCCCTATTCACCTTTAGGTTCATTCAGTGCAGGTTTTCAGTGACAATTTGTTGAATTGTTAGAAGGAAGATATACTAGAATGGAAAACTCATAGGTCAGAGAAGAAGTGTCAAGATCAAATATCAAGGCCACTTGGCTTAGAGCTCAAAGGACAAGCTTCCATCCAGATAATCCAAAGGGCGAGGTCAATAAAAAAAAGCCCAATCAGAACCCAAGAAGTCAGAGTAGTCAGAGTGAAGGAAAAGGAAATGGAGTGGCCAAGAGAAGAGCCATAGACTAGATTTGGATTTATGCTGTCCTCATTGCAGTCTTTGATTAGCTGTGATGGCAGTGAAATGGGAATGTTCCCTTATCCCCCTCACAGGATGTGTGATAGGGATGTGGCTCACTTCTTCAGTACCCTGCTGCTCAAACCCCTAGGGGGACCATGCAGATGGGCAGATCGTGGGGAGCGTTTTTGGGCTCCAACCCCACAACAGCATCTAGGGTTGAGTGTTTACAGCTCCCAAAGCCCCAGTGGGTGTGTGTTACAGTGCGCCCTTTCAGTTTTGCTGTCTGCAGCTCAGTTAGACCCTCTGCCTTATCTCAAGGACAGAGGGCTTTCCGTATCCCGGCTTCTGGCCCCAGTGTACCAGAAAAATCAGATCACATGTGGGCTTCGAGGATGGGTGCATGGTTTTACTGGGTGGTGAAGGTTGCTCTCAGTGAGGTGGATAGGGAACCATAAGGGGAATGGAGTGGGAAGATGATCTTCCCCTGGAGTCAGCTGGACCCTCCTCCCACCTCCTGGGCTGAATTCTTCCTTGTCCTGCCATCAATGGCCTGCCAGTGTCTGCTGGTGTTTGTCGACGTGCTCTTCTGCTCCTCTCGAAGTCCAGCCACTTGTGTCTGTGCCTGCTAGGGTCTTGAGTTCTTATGGGCACAGGATGGGGATATGGTGGGCCAGAGTGGTCTTGGAAAACACGACATTTGGACGCAAAAGCAGGAGTGCCTGTTCTCACTTAAATCCGTGGGCACAGGCTTGAGGGTGGAGCCCTTGCCAGGGACCCCACCCTTCTCCACCCAGCACTTCCCTGATCCTGTCTTCTATCAGTAGGCCAGATGTAGCTGGTTTTAGAGGTCTTAAATAAAGGGGTTTGAACCATGGGCAGGGAAGAGAAATAGAGGTGTCTCCCGACTGGCATTATCAACAAGTTTCTGCAGGACAGACATAACACAGTATATGTTATTAAGAGCATTCATTCTACAGAAAACTTGGTTCTGTGACTAAGAGATTTTAGAAATTGCTGGGTTAAGCCAAGTTAACTATAGTCTTACCAGACTTCTGAGAATTTTCATAATGCTAATATCAGTTTCTAAGCTCTGACCATTTACCAAACAACATGACCATATAATCCTTTCTCTTTTTTAACGGATAATTTCATTGAGCTAGTATCCCATGAGACATTGGTTTAGAAAATATTGCTGTTCACTATTCTTAGTGTTTTGTATTATCTTCACGGCTGCTATCAATTCATGTATTTATTTATAGCTGGCCTCGTTTTGGAAAAGATTTAAAGCAATCAGTACAGAGATGATCATTAGAGTTTAGCTTTGCTTGGGGCTTTTTACACTAACTGTTTTTCTTGACCTGGAATTAAAATCTTCCTTCATGAATTCTATTGAAAACCTCAGAAGTTATTACTTTCCTCTGGCAGAAAAGATTCTCAGAGGTATCATCAACCTAGCTCATGAAGGTGGGAAAGTGAATGAGGGTTTCCAGGATCTAGTTTCTGAGTTTTTGACCTAGGATGCAACACAGACCCCAGTGCCTTATAGAGCAGATCCAGGGAGAAGACTAGTCATGATGTGGGAACCAGGGAGATGGGGAGACTCTGTGTCATTGTTCCATAATGCCGTTAAAAGTAATGGCAAAAACCACAATTACTTTTGCACCAATCTAATACATAGGTACAGCTGCCTGACCTTGGCAAAACTTGCTTAACTTTCTGGGTCTCAAATTTATTGTGAGCATATCCTAAATAGTAGTATCTACATCAAAAGGTCATTGGAGACATTAAATGAAGTAAGGTTTATAGACTCCCTACCACAGAGGAGAAGCTCTATTAATATTCTGGCTATAATGATATTGATAAAGGCACAGATTCTCATCTTCAAGGTTGCCCTAGAGCCAAGGTTTGTAGCTCCTTTTTGTTTTGGTCAATCTCTCACTTTTCCCAAATATTCCCTTTATCCATTTACTAGGGTAAAGTTTCCTGCTTTTTCTGAGAGGGTCCCCTGGAACCCTGAAGAAATATGAGTTGTATCTGTACCTGGTCACCTAAAGTAATGTCTTTTCTTCTTCAGCTGAGACCAACTACATGTGGGGAGAGAGATGTAAGGGAGCTGCCCCCAAGGAGCTCTGTGCAATGTGCTGATGGATTGAGGGTGGCACTTTGTGTCTAATTACTGGTGTGGGAGGACAGGGGCATGGAGGAAAGAGGAGGAAAGTGAATGGCAAAGGGAGTGAGGAAAAGAGACCAGGAGTTTTCTGCAAAGAAAGAAGAGTTAGAGGCCGGGCGTGGTGGCTCATGCCTGTAATCCCAGCAATTTGGGAGGCCAAGGTGGGTGGATCACATGAGGTCAGGAGTTCAAGACCAGCCTGGCCAACATGGCGAAACCCCATCTATACCAAAAATACAAAAAAAAATTAGCTGGGCATGGTGGCAGGTGCTTGTAATCGCAGCTACTCAGGAGACTGAGGCAGGACAATTGCTTGAACACGGGAGGCGGAGGTTGCAGTGAGCCGAGATTGTGCCACTGCACTCCAGCCTGGGCGACAAGAGTGAAACTCCATCTCAAAAAAACCAAACAAACAAAACAACAACAATAACAACAAAAAAAAAAGAAGAAGAAGAAGAAAAAAGAGTTAGAAAACCACAGTATTCCTCCCATGAGTTGCACACACCCACCTGTTCTCAACAAGAAAATCTGGACAGCATGGAAGATGCTTAGTTATATCGTGTGTAGCAATATAACCAAGTATAATATAACTAAAAACGTGTTTAGCAATGACCCAAAAAAAAACTGAGCTGTGCATTTCATTCATTTCATTTACTGTCATCCCCACACACATTCTTTTTTTTTTTTTTTTTGAGACGGAGTCTCGCTCTGTCGCCCAGGCTGGAGTGGGGCAATCTTGGCTCATTGGAAGCTCTGCCTCCCGGGTTCCCACCGTTCTCCTGCCTCAGCCTCCCCAGTAGCTGGGACTACAGGCACCCGCCACCACGCCCGACTAATTTTTTGTATTTTTAGTAGAGACGGGGTTTCACCGTGTTAGCCAGGATGGTCTCGATCTCCTGACCTCATGATCTACTGCCTCGGCCTCCCAAAGTGCTGGGATTGCAGGTGTGAGCCACTGCACCCGGTCAACGCACACATTCTTTGTAAGCAGGTTTTAAAAAATTTTAATCTTTTAAAATGCTTATTTTTTAAATGATGACACTGTTCATTCAGTAATCCCCCTTTCAGAAGATATCCTATGAAAATGATCTAAAATGCAAGCAAATATTGGGTGCATTTTGGGTCAGATGGCCTTCCATGCTCAAATGAGTAGAGTACTTTTGTTCAATCAGTTTATCACTGTCATCTAGATTTAGAATGAGCTGGTTCTCCATGTCTCAAATGATGCTGTGAGTAACCTTGATGAGAATGTGTTGGTGTTCCATGATGTGGAGTTCGAGGAAGCTGACTCACTTTCTCACCATGACTTTCAGCTGTGTACCATGCCTTTACCTGAGCCATCGGTTGCTCTCCAAATCCTGGCTCTGAATGGGTTTCACACATATGCCTCTATGTAAATCCTAAATTCCTGTTGATATTTTTCTCTCAGAGAGTCACATCCATAGGACTCAAAGCAGCTCTTATTTTTTTTTGCCTCAGTATATTAACAATCTTATAACATTCCTCCCCAGAGTATAGAATTAGCTTATAGTCATGAAAGGGTGGGTTTCATCTGTGTTCATCAGAATGTTCTATATCCACTGATTAATTTGCTTTTTCTTCAGTGACTCAGAGATGATTTCCTCTTCAGAAAACAGAAGAATTTTCTGACACATTTATCCAGGTAAAAAATTAAACACACATACACACAAACACTCTGTCCTCCAAAATACATATAATATTTGCTATTTCTTACAAGTGAGGTTACTTGCTCAATATTTGAGTAAAACTATTGATCAAGAAAGTTATGACTTTGTGTATCCTCACATTCTATAGTCGTACGCCATCCCATTGCAGAAACATGGGGCCACCCACTAATTGTCATATAGAGAAAATCAAAGTGGTATTGCAAAGCATGTGGCTTAAAGTGGGTGCTAAGGAAATGACAAGTGTTAACGAAAATGAAATTGCATTGGATATGATTTTTCTTTACATCTGGGATCAGGCAGACACTGAAACTTTATTTGCCCATGGACAAGAGAAAGACAGGAAGGAAATCCTCCCATAGTGCCTACTATGTGTGTTTTAACATGTTTAGTGTTTTATTCATGTCACCAGAAAGTCAAGCTTGTTGGACTCATGGAGTCTAATAAAACCACTTTATATTTGCTTCTAACCCTTTTAAACCCATTTAGGGCTAGCCATATTTTTGCTTCCCCTTAGTGACTTTCCCTGACTTCCTTGATTACACTTTATTTGCAAACACCATCTGAAGTCAGCAATTGAAAATGTCCAGTCTCCGTGAATTTTAACTTGGAAAGCTGGGAGCTTACAAGTGCTCACTCATCTAACTCTCTACATCCTGGGCACTTAGAAAAATAATATTTCCTAACTTTCATTGCAATTAGGTTTGCTGCCTACTTGTTGAATTCTGGCCATTGGAATATGAAAAAAAAAGGGAAGCTGTGAACCAGAGTCCTGCCAACCCCTCTACCTAACACATATGCATACCCACTGACAAAATTTAGACATGTTATAGGAGGAGAAATGCAGATGTGTGGTGTGAATTGACTGGCTTTGTGGAGTTTGTCATCTCATCTATCTAGTCTGTCTTGACTAATTTCCTGAACTTGATTTAGTTTCAAATCTTCTGTCCTCTACAAGCTGGCATTGACTTTGAACCGCCCATTTAAAGTGAGAGAGGGTGGCAATGTCCTCCTACTTCCCCACCGCCCCCCCCCCAACCGCCCCCACTGGGTCTTTCTCTCTCCAAACTTATAAAATTGTTTGTTTGTTTTTTTTTTTTGAGATAGAGTCTCGCTCTGTCACCCAAGCTGGAGTGCAGTGGCATGATCTCAGCTCACTGCAACCTCCGACTCCATGGTTCAAGCTATTCTCCTTCCTCAGCCTCCCTAGTAGCTGGGATTACAGGCATGCACCACCACGCCCAGCTAATTTTTGTATTTTTAGTAGAGATGGGGTTTCACCATGTTGGCCAGGATGGTCTTGATCTCCTGACCTTGCGATCCACCCGCCTCGGCCTACCAAAGTGCTGGGATTACAAGCGTGAGCCACCGCACCCGGCCCCAAACTCATAAAATAGTTTTCTGACCCCTCCAAGCAGAGAGGTGAGAGTTGAAGTACTGTGAACAACAAAGTTTGTATCTGTTGTTTTCACATTTGGCAGATGAGTAGAGCTTGCCCTTTCGGTTTTTTGGGAGAGTGTTTTTGTGAGTTTCTGGTATTCTACCACTGCGATTCCTATGATGTGGCCTCCTTTGGTTGTCTCCTCCCAAATTACCATTGGGCTTCTGCCATACCAAAAACCTACACAGCCCATTACTGCTAGGTTTTGTCACCCTGGAAGGCTGCCCTTTCTGGCAGGACCTCTTTAGAGAGGATCCAGGGTTCCCATCCTACCTCATCTGGTCCTAAAGCCCCATGTATGTTTGGCTCTCAGAGAGAGTGACCTGACTTTACTTCCCAGGTGCGGCCCTCCACCCTGCAGCCTAAAGTTATGGCAATACTCTCAGGCATGGATCAGCACCCACTCTTGCCCCTCTGCCTCAACTACAGGAACACATGTCAAACCGCACTGCACTGCTACAGTCTACTTATCAGTCTCCTACCTCTCCACACTTGCATCAGCCCCAATGTCCTTTCCAGAAGTCTCCTTTGCAGACTCCTGGATCACTACTCTGTCTACCCTTTTGTAGTATCATTTTGTGACAGCTATGCAACCAGTTATTTTTCCATGGTGTTCTGTCCCAGTTCACTTTGGAATGTAGCATCTGTTGAATTCATGCCTCATGAAGCATGAAGAGTTCCATTTTAACATCCCGTTATACATGCATTGTCTCATTTAAACTCCATATGTGCCCTGTGAGCTATATTAACTCTTACTTCATTGGTAAGAAACATAAATTTCAGGGAGGTTAACAGGGCCTAATATGTAATAAGCCAGAACATATGAGGAAAAGGGCTCTGTCTGTCTTATCACTTCTGCATCACTGAACATACAGCAGTAACTGGCACATAGGATATGCTTCAGGTTTTTCCAATATAAATAAATAATATGAGAATTTACAAATCAGTTGCTATTTACTCTATTCCAGGGTTTCTCAGTCTTGGCACTGTTGATATTTGGGACCAGACAACTCTTCACTGCGGGGGCCTGCCCTGTGCTTTAGAGAATAATTATCAACATCCCTGGCCTCAACCCATGAGAAGTCAGTCTCAGCCCTTGTAATTAGGCATATCTCCAGGACTAGTTAGAGTACATGAAATTGTTTACAGATATAATGGGAACCACTTCAAAGCCTAGCACATAGAAACTTTCTATGTATGATTCTTCATTCTCTTTTACCCACAGATTGGATGATATGGAGATGAACACCAGGACTATTTTAGAAACTGCATGTTGAAGACCACTGAGATATAAAACTTAGAAAAAAAAAGGTTCTGAATCAATGCCTTGTGAAGACAGTTGCACAGGTTAGTTGCTGGAGCATATTCATCTTTAGAATGTTTCATAAGAAGAAATAAACTTTTACTCTGCTAAGTCATTGAGATTTGATTATTTATTTCTTATAGCAGCTAGTGTTATCATAGCTAACTCACTCTTTGCATAGACTTAAATAAGTAAAAATGAGAGCTGATATAAAGAGAAAAAGTGTAGTTAATTATATCTCAAGTGATTCATCAGTATGATAAAATTCTAAAAAGTAATGCACAACAATAGATCAGTTAGATTTAAGAGAGACAAAGCTGTGAAAGAGAAAATGCTACACACCAGGGGTTCTTTTCTATTTAACTTTTTCTGAGGTTATATCAGAAAATAAGGGAAAATAATGAAAAAAATAAGGGAAAGACTCTTTGCTTTAAGAAGACCCTCATGAGATTTTTTTTTTTTTGGAAAATAATTAAGATTTATATTAGGCAAGGTAACTGCATTAGTTTTTTAGTGCTGCATAAAAAAAGCCACAAATTTAGCATCTTAAAACTGCATGCTTTCATACATTCATTATCTCACAATTTCTATAGCTCAGAAGTGTGGGTAGAGTTTAACTGGGTCTTCTGCTCAGGGTACCACCAGGCTGAAATCCAGGTGTTCACCAGGACTTTTCTTCACCTGGAGGCCCAGCTGGAGAAGAATCTGCTTCCAAGCTCCATCAGACTGTTAGAAAATTAACTTCCTGTGGCTATAGGATTCATGGCACGTTGCTTCTTCAAAGCCAGCAATGGAAAGAGTCTTCTGCTCCAAGAATGACATGTAGTCACTCAGAAAGGGATCATATGACTAGGTAATGTCCACCCAGAATAATATCGCTTTTGATTAAGTTAAAGTCAATCGATTAGAGGCTTGAATTGCATCTGAAAAATGTATTTTCTTTACCGTACAACATAAATTAGAGTTCAGTATGGATTAGCAAGAGGAATCTGCATTTTCAAAGATGTTTGGAAACCAGTCTTTCTCTATCTTTGTCTCCACCTACATTTAAGTTCTTTGAAGTCTTTCCACACAGCTACAAATAGAAAAAGAGAATTACAAATTATCTATGGGAGATTTGTTATTTAATGGGTCAGTTCTAAGCATTAAGCAAGTTAATCCTACTCACATTTCACTGGCTGGATGTCACCTCTGTGTAGTTGCAGGGAAGTTGTAAAATGTAGTCTAGCTGTGTGCCCAAAAAGAGAAAAAGGTGGACAGTGTTCTCAGTTCTCAGTCCACCCTTCTGATCACTGCCAAAGCATCTGTTTCCCTTGTCTCGCCCACAGCAAAACTCTCATACCTTTCCCAAGAGAATCAAGCTGGATATTTCACATCCCAATGCATCCTGTTCAAAATCTAATATGGAGCATCTCCAAGAGGTGCTCAGCTTTTCCATCAGATCTGGATAGGTCTTCCTATCATTCAATAATTTATTTTAAAGAAAAAGAAATTGTCTATCCTCCAATCTTCCTCAATTTTGAAGAAATTCTAAATCAGAAAGTGAATGAATGAGAAACCACAGAAGAAACTGGTCTGCAGCAATTTGGATGTCCCACTGAACAGGCTTTATGAAGGTCATCCACCCTGAGAAAGCAGGTGCATTTCCTAATTAAATCCTGTTTCTGCTCTTTGGAAGAAACATCGTTGTCCCTTGTTCTTTATGGATATTTGCTCTATCCTCTGGGAGTATTTTCTTGTCCATTTTCCAGGGTGCATATTTCAGATCTGACAGGTTTCTGTAAATCTGTAAAGTCCATTTCTGCTGGTATACATATGGAGTCTTGAAGGCTATTTTATTTTTATTTTTGAGATGGAGTCTTGCTCTGTCACTCAGGCTGGAGTGCAGTGGCATGATCTTGGCTCACTGCAACCTCCGCCTCCAAGATTCAAATGATTCTCTTGCCTCAGCCTCCCAAGTAGCTGGGATTACAGGCATCCACCACCATGCCAAGCTAATTTTTGTAATTTTAGTAGAGACAGAGTTTCTCCATGTTGGCCAGGCTGGTCTCAAACTCCTGGCCTCAGGTGATCCACCCACTTGGACTCCCAAGGCGCTGGGATTACAGGTAGGAGCCACTACTCCTGGCCTTGAGAGCTGTTTTAAATATCAAAAATGATGGTTTCCAGTTTCATCCATGTCGCTGCAAAGGACGTAAACTCATCCTTTATTATAGCTGCATAGTATTCCATGATGTATATGTGCCACATTTTCTTTATCCAGTCTATCATTGATGGGCATTTGGGTTGGTTCCAAGTCTGGAAACCTCATTCTCAGCAAGCTAACACAGGAACAGAAAACCAAACACTGAATGCTCTCACTCATAAGTAGAAGTTGAACAATGAGGACACATGGACACAGGGCAGGGAACATCACACACCAGGGCCTGTCGGGGTGTGGTAGGTTAGGGAAGGGATAGCACTGGGAGATGATGGGTTGATGGGTGCAGCAAACCACCATGGCTCGCGTATACCTATGTAACTAACCTGCACGTTCTGCACATGTATCCCAGAACTTAAAGTATAATAAATAAGCAAACATCAAAGAATCAAGGGCTGTTTGGTAGTATTTTTACAATATGATTTATCCCCAAAGTAAGAGGGTTATAATCTACTTGTTCCTTCCTTCCCCATGCCTCTTACTTTCCACTTAATGGGTTGACATTCTGAGGCACATTGCATAAGCCTTCTCAGAAGGTCTTGTTTTGATTGGCACCTGTCACACACAGCAGTGGCCTCTGTCATTATATATCTTAGGTTGGAACTTTCTGCTTGCCTGCATTGTTTTCCTAGTCTTTCATTCTTACTCAAATAAGACACCCAAACATAAAACTGTCTCAGGCTCTGCTTTCAAGACAACTAAGCTGAGACACTACTTTTTGCAAAAATGCTAAATCTTCAAGGATCTTTGTCAATCCAAGGCTTTTTCAATCTTACTTCCTATTTTGAGGTCTCAGAAGTGGTGATTTTACCAACCCTTTAAGGTCCCAAATGTCTGAACTGCCGCTTGTCTCTTTCTTTTTCTACTTATAAAGTAGCCAGTTATTGACTAACATCATCATTTTCTTTTAATACTTTCCTAAGATCAGCCAATATAAAGCAACACACATCGTCACCCCAACTCCTCCTGGTCACTCCTTTAGAGCTATATTCTCAGTCAACTCATGTAGTGCTCCCAAATTAAGTCAAGCAACAGTTTTAATTGAAACTTTTATTAAGATAATTGTAAATTCACATACAATTACAATAAATACTACATAGATATAATTTCTATGCTTCTCTCAGTTTCCTCCAATAGCAATATTTTGCAAAACTATATTAAATATTGCAACAAGGACTTTGAGATTTATACAGTCCACTGATTCAAATCGCCCCAGTTTTACTCTATGCATATATGTGTATATCAAGTTCTCTATAATTTTATCACTCTTGTAGGCTCATGTATCTACCACCACAGTCAAGATACTAAGAAGTCCCAACACCGCAAAGATCCTTATTTTGCCTTTTTACAGCTATCCCCATAATTATACTTTTTCCACCCTGCCCAGCTCTGTCACTAACTCCTAACCACTAATCTGTTCTCCATTTTTAACATTTTATCATTTCAAAATGCTGTATACATTTAATAATACAGAATTTAACCTTTAGGAATTTACTCTTCATGGAGCATAATTCTCTGCAGATTCACCCAAGTTGTTGTTTATTCATCCTTATTGCTGCATAGTATTCCATGCTACCTACGTACTAGAGATTGTTAACCATTCCACTGTTGAGGGACATTCAGACTCATTCATATTTCTGGCTATTACAAATAAGGCTAATATGAATACTCATGTACAGGTTTTTGTATGAAAATAAGTTTTCATTCCTTTGGGAGAAATGCCCAAGTATGTAACTGTCTGGTCATATGGTAAATTTATGTGTAGTTTTATATGGAACTGTCAAACTGTTTTTCAGTGGGTATATTAATAAACATTCCCAACAGCAATATATGACTGATTCATTTTCTCTGTATTGTCACCAGCATTTGGTGATGATGTTTTTTGTTATTAATTTCACCCCTTCTGATAGGGGTATAGTGATATATCATTGTTGTTTTAATTTGCATTTCTCTGATGGCTAATGATGTTGGACATTGTTTTTATGTGCTATTTGTTTTATTCATATCCTCTTCAGTGAAATGTCTCTTCATCTTTTTTAACTGTTGAATCTAGAGAGTTCTTTATATGTACTAAACACCAGTCCTCTGCCAGATATAAAGTTTGCAATATTTTCTCCTAGATTGTAGGTTGTATTTTCTTCTTCTTCACATAGACTTTTCTTCTTCTTCGCATAGACTTGCTCATCATCACTGGCCATCAGAGAAATGCAAATCAAAATCACAATGAGATATCATCTCACACCAGTTAGAATGGCAATCATTAAAAAGTCAGGAAACAACAGGTGCTGGAGAGGATGTGAAGAAATAGGAACACTTTTACGCTGTCGGTGGGTCTGTAAACTAGTTCAACCGTTGTGGAAGACAGTGTGGCGATTCCTCAGGGATCTAGAACTAGAAATACCATTTGACCCAGCCATCCCATTACTGGGTATATACCCAAAGGACTATAAATCATGCTGCTATAAAGACACATGCACACGTATGCTCATTGCAGCACTACTCACAATAGCAAAGACTTGGAACCAACCCAAATGTCCAACAATGATAGACTGGATTAAGAAAATGTGGCACATATACACCATGGAATATTATGCAGCCATAAAAAAGGATGAGTTCATGTCCTTTGTAGGGACATGGATGAAGCTGGAAACCATCATTCTCAGCAAACTATTGCAAGGACAAAAAAACAAACATCGCATGTTCTCACTCACAGGTGGGAATTGAACAATGAGAACACTTGGACACAGGAAGGGGAACATCACATACCAGGGACTGTTGTGGGGTGGGGGTAGGGGGGGAGGGATAGCATTAGGAGATATACCTAATGTAAATGATGAGTTAATGGGTGCAGCACACCAACATGGCACATGTATACATATGTAACAAACCTGCACGTTGTGCACATGTACCCTAAAATTTAAGTATAATAAAAAAAAAAGAAAAAAAAACAATTCCTCTTCCCCCCGACAAAAAAAAAAAGGAAAGAACTTTTTTTTGTAGCCACTGATGAGATGCAATTTATCAATTTTTTTCTTTTTTGGATTATGCTTTTGGTGTCTAGTCTGAGAACTCTTAGACTATTCTTAGATCTTAAAGATTTTCCTCTTTTGTCTTAAAGTTTTATAGATTTATGTTTTACATTTAAGTCTATGATCAATTTTGAGTTGATTACTTTATGATGTGTGAGGTTTACATTGAAGTACAATTTTTTGGCCTATGAATGACCAAATGCCCCTGCCTTATGTGTTTAAAAGATCATCTTTCCTCCTTTAAGTCAGCTTCTTACCCTTGCCAAAATCAGTTAAACATATATGTGTGCATCTTGTTCTAGGATCTTAGTTTTATTCTATTGATTTATGTGTCTAACCATTTAGTAACACAACACAATCTTAATTACTGCAGCTATATGGTAAATCACTTTCACTTGTATTAAGTCCACACAATGAGATATTTTCTATGTTGTAGTTTTTAGTTTCTTAATTTCCATTTGGCTATTTTTTAGTAACTTCTTTTGCTGAGATTTTTCAGTCTTTCATTTGTCTCAAAATAATTTGTGATTGAATTTTGGAACATTTTTATAACTACTTTTAAAAAATTTGTGTCATGTAATTCCAACATCTGATTCATCTCAGTATGGCATCAGTTGATTTTCTTATTCAAGTTATGATTTGGTGGTGGTGGGGTATGATATTAAAGGTAATTTTCAGCTATATCCTCCTGGACATTTTGTCTGTTACATTAGAATAGTTTTGTTTCTATTTAAATATTTTATTTTTGCAGGCAGTCATCTAGTCTAGGTTTAGAATGCAGCCTTTGGCCTAATTCATGAGCTGTGGTTTCAAGGAGAGTTTAATTTGCAGAACCTTTACAGTGTTACTCTCATCTACTTGGTGCGGTGCTGCTGGGTTCCCACTGGTTCTGGCTAGTGCTCCCTCAGGTTGCAGAAGTGGGGTTCTCAAGTCTAGCCACTAGGTGTCTTTCACTGGTGAAAGGTATAGCGGGATCCCCACTTACTGAAGCCCCTGATTCTTCTGGTGTCTCTGGATGGGGAAGGACAGTCTTGGATCTGTGGGAACAAAGAGGCTCCCTGGACTTGGCTGCTTGCTTTACTGGGTCATTCCTGCAATCATGCCTGACCCATACAGAATCTTTCAATGGAAAAAGTCAGTCTCAGGCCCAATGGGAAAGAAGAACTCTTTGCCTGGACTCCTACTATTTTAGGGTCTACCAATCAACCCCTTTTGACGGTGGTTTTGGGATAAACTGGTGTTGTCAGAAAGGCTCCAGTTGGATTTGCAGGCAGAATGAGCCTACCTGAGCTATCCTCTGTTGGTAAGTCAGGGATTAGTAAATGCCAGGTCTGGGTGGCCTTCCTCAATTGGATGACAGGATAAAACATGCCCTGCTGCTGTGCTGTGCTGTTCTTCCAGCCTTGGAGTTCCAAATCAGCTCGCCCTCTTCCTACACCCCTTAGAGTTCTCCTATGGTTATCTCTTCCACCAGTTCTGGGGTTTATAGTGGCATTTCCTGGAGAGGAACAAGGAAAAGCTATGCCATCTTATTTGTACCAGAAGTCCAAGAAACATTTGTACCAAGTGTTCGGTTATGATATAAGCAGGCCCTCTCCTTTTATTCTCTGATACATGTTTCTGCACTACCCATAATAAATAATCTGATTTGAGGTACATTTTTCTGCCCCAAATAGGATTTGCCCTTTATCAAAGACCTGTGTATTGCTCTCTATAGCCTATTGATATAAACCATCATCCTTCACCTAATATACAAGATGTTCCACAGCCAAGCCATTGTTTCTCTGTTTTATTTTTAATTCCTCCCACATACACACCTTACAAACATTCCTGATTTGCTGTCCTTAACCAACATTCCCACCTCTATTCAAATTGTCCCTTCTACCTGAAATGTTCTCTCTCCTGTGCTTCTTTAGAAATGCTTGTGGGATTTCACCTCATGTTCTAATGATTGAGAAAGTCAGGGTCAACTTCTAAAAGACTGTGGATGCCAAGTTAAGGTTTATGCACTTTAGCCTGTAGGTAAAAGCAATTTCCTGGCTGGCCTCAATCCTCTGAGAACCCTTATTAGTGGTTACTGAGGCTGTACTCTCTGGGTTACTTGATTTGTAAAGAGGGAAGCGTGCCTCACTGCTTTGTTTTGGAAGTCAGTTGACATTCAGTTATTAGACTAATCCAAATTGTGTTTTCCAATGAATGTCTCAAGGGAAAGATTCCAATTCACTTTGGCTACTTAAGAGAAGTTGTCAGAGTAAATTAAGGACTCTGCTCTTGCTCAGGCAGTGGATGTCTCTAGAATAATACCTGTTGGTTTTTCTTGATGTGCAGAATACCCTTGTTTGAAGTCTGATTGGGCCACATAGCCGTAGAGAAAGTAGTTCTTCTGGCTGGGCACAGTGGCTCACGCCTGTAATCCCAGCACTTTGGGAGGCCAAGGCAGGCGGATCACGAGGTCAGGAGATCGAGACCATCCTGGCTAACACGGTGAAAAACCATCTCTACTAAAAATACAAAAAAAAAATTAGCTGGGTGTGGTGGCGGCGGCTGTAATCCCAGCTACTTGGGAGGCTGAGGCAGGAGAATGATGTGAACCCGGGAGGTGGAGCTTGTGGTGAGCCAACATCGCGCCACTGCACTCCAGCCTGGGCTACAGAATGAGACTCCATCTCAAAAGAAAAAAAAAAAAAAAAAAGAGAGACAGAAAGTGGTTCTTCTGTAGAGAAATAAACATACGTCCAAAAATATAGCTTCCATGAATTTATATGCCTATTATATTTAAGACACTAGGTTCTAGAAAGTGTATGAAAATGTTAACAGTATAGCGCCTGTGTTCCGCAGGTATAAAATATTTATTTATTCACTCATGCACTCCTTATTCAATCACCTTTTCATATGTTGATTTAATATTTACTCTTTGCCAGTTATCTGCCAGTTATTTTGCTAAGTGCTAGTGTTATAATGAATAAGGCTTATATCCCTCAAGCAGCTCTTCACCAATCAGAGGACAGGTTCGCATACAGAGTCTTATCAAACGATGTGATTAGGGCAGTGGCTTACTGCCACACTCTTACCACAGGCATGTAGGACCCCATAAAATATAAATGGGAGATTTCTAACTCAAAATGCAGGAAAATTAGGCATTCTAAAAAAGCTATGGAGGAGATTTTAAAGGGTGAGTAGGCATTAAGGCAGAGAAAATAAAGCAGGCACTCAGAGGAGTGGACACAGTCTAGGAGAGAAGTTGCATCCTGTTTGTCTGAACACTGAAGAGTAAGAGACAGCCTTGGAGAGGTAGGCAGGGAAGGGTCACTAACAAGCATTAATGGCTGTGATTTGCATGGTGCTTTACTGTTTATAATTGCTTTGTTTGATTATCACACAAAAATCCTTGATGATTAATTCAACTCATGTGGCTCAATATACAGGAGTTATATGAAGATCCATTAAATTAAGCCCTATCTAACTGCCTCCTTCTCTCCCTTTTATCCTTCCTTTCCTCATTTGTCCATGTGTTTGTTTCTCCTTTCCTCCTTCCCTCCCTCTCTCCCTCTCTTTCTTTCTTCAAAAAATATTTACTGAATACCTACTAAGTTTCCTCAGCAATGTTAGACAACAAGGACGAACGTGAAAAACAATTGAAAAAAAAAAAAACCCTTATAAATTTTGCATTATAGCCTAGAATAACCATATCCAAGTTAAAAGGCAAATATTTAAATATTTAAAATTATTCTGAATTACATGTTAGCAAGAAAAAATAAGAGAGGCTGAAATTATACATAAAATAATGATAAGGAAATCTTCTAATACAGTGATGTTTCAAATAGATTCAAAGGAAGAAAAGAACCCCCAATAAACATAGTTGTAGAGGAAACAAAGCAGAGAAAGCAAAGTTCAAAGTGCCAGAGTGTAGAGTAAGATTTGAAATGAGACTGGTGCAGACGGATCGCAGAGGGGGAAGAGAAATACAATGTCAATGGTAATTACACACAGGGGCTAGGTCATCCAGGACTTTGCAGGCCTGAGAAGGGGATTTGGCATTTACTTGAAGTGTAATGGGAAGACACTGGCTAGTTTTAGCCATGGACTGACGTCATCTGGTTTGTATTTTTAATAGTATACTCTGAGTGCTCTGTGGAGAAATAGAATGTAGCAGACAGTGAGACTGGAAGATCTGAGACCAGTCAGGAGGCCATTTAAATAATCCAGGTGAGAGATGATAGGGGTCACACTATTGTTGGCAGTAAAAGATGAGAAAAAAGTAAAGATGGTGTAAACTTTTCAAGATAGGCTCAAGAGGTCTTCGGAATGGAAAGAATGGGGATTTGCTAGTAAGTGTGAGAGGATCAACAGTTACTCCTAAGATTCAGGCTTAAAAACTGGATGGATGATGTGCTTATTTATTTGCTGAAACTGGGAACTCAGAGTGGATCACAACTTCCCCACCCAAATGCATATATATGAGAGAGAGATATATATGCGAGATTATATATATATATATATATATATATATATATATATATATGCATATCTGCAGCATTAGTGGACTCTGTGAGGATCTGGTTGAGTTTGATTCTGATCATCCAAGCACATGAGCTGCAGGACAAGCTCCACAATCAGGAACATGGAATTTTTATCAGATTTCTTTGCAGTGAAGGCAAGTGGGCACATTCCCTGGCTGCTGCAATTGGATGTGCTCTAGGAGACATCAGGTCAGACTCAGTATCCAGAAGAAGGTGGAGGCATACAGAATCAGTCACAGCAAGACAGACATCTGAGTTTCAGCAATGTCAGTGCAGGCTACAGAGCCCTGTTCTCAGTGAGAGCAGCTTTTTTATATGTTTTCTTTATTACATCTACCTATGATATTGTTTGGCTCTGTGTCCCCACCCAAATCTCACCTTGAATTGTAATAATCCCCATGTGTCAAGGGTGAGACCAGGTGGAGATATTTGAATCATGGGGACAGTTTCTCTCATACTGTCCTTGATAGTGAGTGAGTTCTCATGAGGTCTGATGGTTTTATAAGGAGCTTCCCCCTTCACCCGGCACTCATTCTCTCTCCTGACACCCTGTGAAGAGTTGCCTTTTGCCATGATTGTAAGTTTCCTGAGGCGTCCCCAGCCATGCAGAGCTGTGAGTCAATTAAACCTCTTTTCTTTATAAATTATCAAGTCTTGAGTATTTCTTCATAGCAGAGTGAAAATGAACAAATACAACCTATTTACTTACTCATGTGCTCCTTATTCAATTGCCTTATTTTCTTTTTCTGACACTCCAGGAAAGAACCATGGATCTGTTTAGGACATGTTCATGTTATGAGGCATTAAAGAGATATAAAAGGAACATTTGGTTGTTTAAGTCTGGGGATCAGAAGTGAGGTTGGGGCCAGAAATACTAATTTGGAAATTACCAGCAAAATAGGCATTAGAATATATGAGAGCAAGGGGAAAGGGAAAACAGAGTCAATGTGTAGAAAGAAAGTGACAATATGAAGACTGACCATTAAGTTGGTGATATTATTTTGCAAAATGTAAACTCAGGTCTATTGAGGGCCCTACTGTGGCTACGGATTTTATTTCAGGATATTTATCTATTACTGAGCCCCCCTAGATGCTCAGAACTCTCTGGCACTTTTATGAACCAACAATACAACTTATCCGACTATCAACTATACTGTGGGAAAAATTCACACGCACACACATACACAGAAAGAGAGAGGAGAGAGAGAGAGAGAATACAGACTCATTTATTTAACTGAATTAATAGCTTTTAGGAAAAAATATTTGATTAGTAGTGGCCTTTTTTAAATGAGGCACTAGTGAGTAAGTATTGGCTTAACTAAATCAGTTATTGTGTCAGTATTATTTGGATAAGCAGCCTTCTTGCAAATAGATGAGTAGTAGGGAGAGCAGAAGGAACATTCAGATAAAAGTCAAGCCTGAACAAGGCAGGAAGCATGTAAGGTCATGGAGTGCTGAGGATGCTTGATTCTCTTAGAGCATCAAGTCACAGAGGGAAGCAGCAAAATCTTTGACTTTGTATAGGTTTCACAGAGACACACAGTTAGTGGCAGGTGGGAGATTTGAATTCAGCTCTCTTGACTCTAAGTGCAGAGCTCTTCCTTTATCCATGCTTTTCTTGTCTTCAGTTTTTTTACCTTCTTAATAATTTGGTCTGTGATATGTGATATGATTTAGCTGTGTCCTCACCCAAAATCTCATCTTGAATTGTAATCCCCATAACCCCCATGTGTCAAGGGAGAGACCAGGTGGAGGTGATTGGATAATGGGGCAAGTTTCCCCCATGCTGTTCTCATGATAGCGAGTGAGTTCTCATGAGATTTAATGGTTTCATCCCTGTTTGGTGTTTTCTCCTGTGTTCATTTCTCCCTCCTGCTGCCTTGTGACTTAGGTACCTTGTTAACCCTTTTGCCCTTCACAATGATTCTAAGTTTCCTGAGGCCTCCACAGCCATGCTGAACTGTGAGTCAATTAAACCTCTTCCCTTTATAAATTACCCAGTCTTGGGCGGTTCTTTATAGCAGTGTGAGAACAGACTAATATTGCCTGTTTTTTAAACTTATTTTTATGTGGCTATCTGAAGCATTACCGTTGTGTGTATAGCTCACATCCTATTTCTATCATATGGTGTTGCACTTGAATACTTTCTTTAAGCCAAATCTGCACCCTGAAAATCTGGGCCCTAGGATAGGCTCTACTCAAAGAAAGTTTTGATAGTGTGGGTGCCAGGAGCAAATACTCCATTGTTCATCATGGGTTCAAGTTCCTGCCAACTATCTGATGGCTCTTGGACCCTGCATTCTGTTTCTTCATCTGTAAAATTTAGGTTCTTGTGAGGATTAACTTTAAAAGAAACACATAAGCAATTAACTCCTGAAATGAACCAGCTGTGGGGCCTTAAATAAGTTACGTAAGGTTCCCAGGTCTTCGCTTTGTAAAGTAGTGTGGAATCATTAGGTGTGCAGCTCTATCAATCTCCTATCATTACAGGATTGCAGTGTGACTAGGAGGTTAGTTGTTGTGTACTTGGGTAAATTACTTAGTTTCTCTGTCTCTTTGTTTTCTTATCTAAATAGGAGGATGATAAGACCTTATAGAGTTGTGAGAATTAAATAAGATTTTCAAGTAAAGGATTTACTACAATGCCTGGCATACAGTGAGCACTGAATACATGCTTGCAATGATGATGATGATGATGTGATGATAGAATCAACAGGAACGTAAAAGGAATCCAATTCCATTTATTCCTGTTGCCTCTTCAATACAAACATGATACAGCACCCACTTGCAGGTGCAACTGTGAAGGCCAAGAACTGTGGCAGCTGCCAAGAAAAGGAGATGGCCTCTTGCCAGGTGCAGAGCTGCTAGCATGGCTGTCAGGAAGTGACAGAGCATTTGCTGAGAAGTCAACATTTGCTGACAGCTCACACATCAAAGCATTTTTCCACAGCTTTCAGTACTGTTACCATATGCGAGTGTTCATGGGAACAGCCATGCCTGGATAAACCAGATAAACTGAGGAATCAAAAGGCATATTCAGACCAAGACTAAAGAGAACCTTCTTCACCTCCTCCATACTTCTTCAATAAGACCACTCAGGACACCTTAACTGCCTTGCTGCCTTTCTGGGTAAGTCACTGAGAACCTTGTTCAACCTTATCTGTCCATGTCTATAGCTGCTATGCTGACTCAGGCCACTTGCCAAACACTTATCATGCCAATACAATGTCAATGACCATTTCAACACCCTCAGCAGCTTCCCATTGCTCAGGAATGGTGACAAATGAGATTGGGAACACCGAAGTAAAAAAGCTAAAATATCATAATGATGAAATTTTGACCAAAAGACACAGAGATATTTTTGTAAGTGTCTATATGATCTGCTATTCCTCTTCCCATATCTGCTAACATTCCAAATGCATTTACTATCCTGCTCCCCATTAATGAATCTGTTCCAACCACCCTGGCCTCCTTACCCTTTCCCTAGCAAGCCAAGCATATTCCTGCCTCACAAACTTTTCACCTGGTCTTATTGCCTAAAATCCTCCCTCTCCAGGTGTCCCTGTGGCTTGCTTCCTCATTCTATTTCATTTTTGCTGAATATTTTCTTATGAATGAGGACTGATTAGATCTCCCTGAATATAACAGCAGCCCCCAATGGCATCGTTGTATCTCTTTCCTGATAGGACTTACACACATAAACATATGTATCCCTTGATTCCCTCTACTAACATAAAACTTTGTGTAGGCACTTCCTTGAATTTTTTCAATGAGTACATTCTCAGATCCAAGATGAATGTCATAAAATAAGCCCTTGATGAATATTTGTAAAATAAATGGATAGAATAAATGAAGGGCCATTGGAGAAACCTGTTAGTAGGTTTTTCTGCCTCTGGTGACTTCTACCTCAAGTTCACCCCCTTATGTTATCTTTAAAGCAGATCTTACCATAAAGGATTCACTTAAATGCCATCAATGGTTGCTATTGCTTAGGAATTATGACAAGATTGGGAGGGTCAAAGGCACAGAATTAAAATAGTATGATGATATTCTGACCAAGTGACTTAGGAATAGTCAAACCTTCCCCTATCCCATCACACTCCCCTTGTGAGGCCTACACGCATAAGAAGGAAAATAAAACAAATTACCCTTTAGTATTTACTAAGGCTCTGGCCTCAAACCTTAATGCAAAACCTTAGATATGAACTAATAAACAAAGCCGAGCTCATGGAAAGATCAATTTTACTAAAACTAAATGTTTCACCAAGATTCACCAAGTCTAGCCAGGCTATTTCCCTCTCTATGATTCCCAAGCTCCCACTCCTCAAACCTAACCTGATAGCTCTGATCTTATAGCCATGATGTGAAGAAATGACAACCCCTTTTTCTCAGGTAAAAAGGAACTAGAACCATAAAATGGGGATTGGCATAGGAAACCGCTCCTGGGTATGACCTGTCACCAGTCCCAGATAATACAGTCCTCTTGGAATTCTTCTAATATGTCACATAACTGGGCTGACGTTTTAAGTCTTCTAATACAGTGATGTTTCAATTAGATTCAAAGGAAGAAAAGAATCCCCGATAAACATAGTTGTAGAGGAAACAAAGTAGAGAAAGGAAAGTTCAAAGTGCCAGAGTGTAGAGTAAGATTCGAAATGAGACTGGTGCAGATGGATCACAGAGGGGGAAAAGAAATACAATGCCAGTGGTAATTACACAGGGGCTAGGTCATACAAAAATGCCCTAAAATCTTGAACCCTATCTGAATCAAAAAGATTGGTGTTTGGTGCATTGAGAGAGGTATGGTAAGAATGAGCACTCTCTAGAAGCCATTTTATTGATTTTTGTTTTTCATGTTAATGAAATTACTTAAATTAATAGTAATTACTTAAATTAATAGTAATGTTTCTGGATGATTGGTCAGGGTTGGCTGTAGCCCTGGTAGAAGGAGATGATAGGAATCTTAAAGTCCTGCTCACCACCTTGGGCAGCTTTCTCCAAACCTTCCTATGTTCTACACATTCTCTTGTGACCATTGAAATGTATCATTCAAATTCTAGTAATTCTTAAATAAGGGTTTTTATTATTTTTATTTCTTCAAACTATGTTTAATATAAGGGACATGATAGTGGGATTTTTTCTTTTAAATTTTTTAAATTCAGGGGTACCTGTGCAGGATGTGCATGTTCGTTACATAGGTAAATGTGTGTAATGGGTGTTCGTTGTATAGACTATTTCATTACCCAGGTATTAAGACTAGTACCCATTAGTTATTTTTCCTGATCATCTCCCTCCTTCCATCCTCCATCCTGTGATAGGCCCCAGACTTGTTTTTCCCTTCTATGTGTCCATGTGTTTTCGTTATTCAGCTCCCATTTATAAGTGAGAACACGCAGTGTTTGGTTTTCTGCCCTGTGTTAGTTTGCTAAGGATAATGTCCTCCAATTCCATCCATGTTCCTGCAAAGGACATGATCTTGTTCCTTTTAATGAATCCATAGTATTCCATGTTGTATATGTACCACATATTTCTTACCCAGTCTATCATTGATGGGCATTTAGGTTGATTCCATGTCTTTGCTGTTGTGAACAGTGCTGGAGTGAACATATGTGTGTATGTGTCTTCATAATAGAACGATTTATATTTCTTTGGATACATACCCAGTAATGGGGTTTCTGGGTCAAATGGTATTTCTGTCTCTAGGTCTCTGAGGAATCGCCACACTTTCTTCCACAGTGTTTGAACCAATTTACACTCCCACCGACAGTGTAAAAGCATTCCTTTTTCTCCAAAACTTCATCAGCATCTGTTATTTTTTGACTTTTTAGTAATAGCCAAAGAATGTTTTTTAGATCATAAATCACAAAAATACCTTAATTCAGATAACCTCAAAAAAACACTATCCAAAAATTTACCATTCATTCCATTTAGTAGTTTCAATTGTCCAACTAAGCTTTCCCAATAGGTTATGTAAAGTGTATTACTTTTATAATATTAATTGCTAATCACTAATTTTTAATACTAATAGGGCTTACATGACAAATACCACAGATTGAGTAGCTTAAACAATGTAAATTTATTTTCTCACCACTCCGGAGGCTGGAGGGAAGCGATCAAGGTGCCAGTAGAGGGTTGATTTCTGAAGCTTCTCTCCTCGGCTTTCTTCTGCCAGTGTCCTCAGATGGTGATGGTGTCTCTGTGCATATCTGTGTCCTAATTGTCTCTTCTTATAAAGATACAATCATATTGAATGAGGGCCCACCCTAATGGCCTCATTTTAACTTAATTATTTTTTGAAGGCCTTACCTATCTCTAAACAATCTGAGGTATTGGGGGTTAGAACATTAACATATGAATTTTGGAAGAACACAGTTCAGCCCATAATACCACGAAATTTCATGTGTCAGAACTGAAATGCAAATAATCATGCTCAGCAACATAAATGCCAGAAATGTGAATAATATGGAAATTTTATTACTGATTTCCTCACAGTCAGATCAGACTTTCAAAACAGAAACCCATCATCCCTTTCAGAAAAATTTAACTCTCAATACATCCCTTTTCTTTCTTGTCTTCTCAGCTTCAGGTAACGGAGTCTCAGGCAGATACCCACATGGAGTCCGGGCTCCACTTTCAACACCCGAACCAAGGAACATGTCTACACAAACAATGGATTCACTGACGCTCACCATGACCACAGCCTGTTTTTCCCAACCTCAAGCTTTTCTGACTTTTCAAACAGAAGTCACTTAAGATGGCAGAGGAGTCCCTTTGTTATCTGCTCATCCCATTTCTCCAGCTTCATTTCCTGCCATTCCTTATTTCTTCCTATTTTCAGGATGATGTTTCTTCTCATTCAGATCTTTACAGAAATCTATTCTCTGTCTGTAGTCACTGAATTTATTTTTCCTACGCAGCTAGAATGATCTTTCAAAAATATAAATAATATGTCCCTACTTTAGAGACATCCTGAGATTCTGTTTCACCTTCAGCATAAAGGGCAAACATCTTAGTATGGGAGAAGAGCCTGTTTATTTCCTAATGCCTATGAGTCTGCAGCCTCATCTCCTGAAAGCCCCTATGCAAAACATATGTTCCAGCAATTTTGAGCTACCTACTTTTCCCCAAATATGCTATGTTGCACTTCTCCCATTCCCCGCTTCACAAAATACATTTACAATGTTCCAGCCTGTTCCAAAAGCAAACCCTGAGGGCCATATTACATTTCTACTTTCATTCCTTAACCCCCTTCACACAGAAAAGATTCCCAACCCCTCTGGATTTCATGAGAGTGTTATCTTTAGAATTCTGTTTTCTCCCCATGTTTTCTGCTCTCCTTTAGTGTGTGACCTTATTATTTATTTTTCAGAATTGTTGAAACGAGCAAAATCAGATTCTGTTTCCATAATTGGCAGTGACACTAAAGAAACCGCATTGCATGCCGTTGTTGAGTCAGTCTTTGTTACCTTTGCTTAAGCACATCCTGCTCCTACAGTGACCTCTTGGGTGAGTCTAGGTAGCACTGATGCATGCCTGGGCACTTGGGTGAACTGGCAGGGCTGGCCTACATGCAGCCTCTTTGCATGAGCCTTGAGGAACCTCCCGAAAGGGAATTCCTGCTGAAGAAAAGGACACAGTGAACTTGATATGGTAAGAGGCCTTAGCGTTCAAAAGAAAGGCTGATTCTGAGTCCAGGAAGGTGACCGTTCTTAAACAGACCAGATACATTTCTGCTCTGCCCTACATCTCTCACCTCAACCACATACATCCTCTGCATCCACACCAGACATCCTGCCTGTCTTTCTGTTCCTCAATGTTAAGTTGTGCTGCTGTATCACCAGCGTCACGTGAAAGCGTCACTCTCTGCACGACCTCCTCTCCCAGTTTTTTTAACCCACTTTTGCCACTGAACCTTCATAGCTTCACTATGACTTTATATGAGAATTAATTTTTCCCCCTTTTCTGGGACAGGATGGATGAAAGGCACGAGGAAGGAAGAACATACATTGATTGTGTGTTATGTATCAAGTACATTATCTATTATCTGTATCATTGTATTATCGAAAAACATACCATATGTTTTTTTATACCATATTTTTTTTATCAAAAAATGTACCATAATGGTTAAAAAAACAACCTACCATACACTTGTAATTATTTTCCCTGTTTTAAAGATGATCAAGCTGAGAATGAGATGCTGAGTTGTTACTCTAGTTGTTACAGCTAGCAGGTGGAAGAACAGCAATAGAATCCAGATCTTTTCAAGACCAAAGCTGATGCCCTAATGTCCTAATCCAGCCATGGGCTGACCATGAGTCTCCTCTGGGCTTCTCTGGGCTCATTGATGTAGTGACACTAATGGCAGGTACCTCAGCACCTGTATCACACATCCTGCTGCTTCTGTCTTTCCAGAGCTTTGCTTCTGTTTCACCTCTGTCCTTTCTAGTGGATGTTGGCTTCATGCTCTGCTTCCAAGTGTAGCCCCTTATTGTTCTAAACCATTCAGTGCATTATATTCCCTTATGATAGGAATGACTTAATTAGACCAGGAGAACTGAATGATAGGTCCAACAGTCTATGTCTGGGGAGATGCCTCTGTGCTGTCATCTTGAATATGAACATAGAAGCACATTCTCTGCTTTTGGTAGCCCTCTTGTGACTGCAAGGAATGCCAGACTCAGAATCAGGAAAAAGCTGGAGCTTAAAATAGCGAAAGAGAGAGAGAGAGAGAAACTTTTGTATTATTCACCCTTTCATTAATTTTTTCATAATTTCCAATGTGGCCTGTAAAAGCGTTATGACTGATATGGATGTATTGGTCATTATGACTGACATGGATGTATTGGTATGACTGATATGGATGTATTGGCCGGTATTCTCTAGAGGGACAGGACTAATAGGATAGATGTATACATGAAAGGGAGTTTATTACAGATAATTGACTCACACAGCCACCAGGTGATGTCCCATAATAGGCCATCTGCAAGCTGAGGAACAAGGAAGCCAGCCCTAGTCTCAAAACCTCAAAAGTAGGGAAACTGACAGTGCAGCCTTCAGTCTGTGGCTGAAAGCCCAACAGCCCCTAGCAAACCATTGGTATAAGCCCAAGATTCCAAAAGCTGAAGAACTTGGAGTCTGATGTTCGAGGGCAGGAAGCATCCTGCAAGGGAGAAAGATGAAGGCCAGAAGACTTGTCCAGTTTAGTCCTTCCAAATTATTCTGCCTGCTTTTATTCTAGCCACTGTGGCAACTGATTAGACTGTGCCAACCCAGACTGAAGGTGGGTCTGCCTCTCCCAGTCCACTGACTCAAATGTTAATCTCCTTTGGCAGCACCCTCACGGACACACCCAGGAACAATACTTTGTATACCTCAATCCAATCAAGTTGACGCTCAATATTAGCCATCACAATGGCTTATCACGGGTCTTGTTAGTCTCTTTCTCTCCCTCCCTACACACAGTCACCAGCACTGTGGCAGATGATGGAGGTTTCTCCTAAATAGACAGCCCATCTTATTACCTGGTTTCCTCCAACTCACCTTCATGTCCTTTCCTAAACATCCCTTCCTCAGGGAGAAATCCACTGACCTCCAGGCCTCTAATTGTACATTCTTTTCACACTTTGTACATTTTCTTCTTAGTATTTTTTATCAAAATCTAAACTGATTATTTGTGTGAATGCTTATGTGAGATCATTCACTAGATGAGGAGCTTCCTCAGGGTGGGGCAATGTTGGCTAAGCTCGACCCTGTTTCTATAGTCTCAAGCATAATCTGGGCACAGAAAACATTTGTACAACAAGTGCTGAATGCATAAATAAATGAAGAGCCAGGTTTTAATAAATGTGTGTTGAGTGGGAATTGAGATTCAACATATTTGTATGTAATGTGGATTCAGGAGTGACACTGCCAATTAATATGCACTGAGCGCCTTGGATTCTACTATGAACTTGATGCATTGGTTTGACTCTGCTGTCTTTGAAGGTGGTGACTGGAGTTCATTCGAAATGTTGTATTTGCCAATTCCACTTTATTTCCTCAGCCTGGATTTCAGAGGCAAGCAGCATGCCTTTCATTTATCCAACTTATCTAGAGCCAATTCAATAGAATAATCAACTTCCAGCATGTTTCACACTTGTTGCTTGTCAAAGCCTCTTACAGTCAAGAAATGTAAGTAATCAGTGCAGTGTACCTGACAACAAGTAGGATGAGAGGTTCAGGATTTTAATTTTGTTCTTTCTTCAAGAACAAGTGTCTCTCTCTGGCAGCTGGAGTGACCTTTCTGTTCTCATCTACACAATGTGAAAGCATGTGATTGGCCTTTCAGCAAGGCCTCTTTATGTACTTTCTGCGTGTTCTTTCATCTTCTTTGACTTCTCACCATAGTGTTTTGTAATATATTTTTACTTGCCTGTCTTTCCCAAATCTATCATGACTCACTTAATGATGAAAGTTTTGAGTCAGTCACCTGGGTCCCCAGTTATTGTTTCATATAAACATGTTTCCTGAAGGTTACCACAGGCACTACATGCTATGACAGGCATGACAAAAACACAAACAAGACATGTACGTTGCAACATGTTGCTTGCCCAATATAGGTCTAGGAGGCTTCTGGATGAAAACGATGCCTGAGGGAATGAGTGAGAGTTCTGTACGAGACAATTTTGGGTGTTCAGGAAATACATGTGGCATGAGTCAACAAATGAATTGGATGAATGAAGGACAAAGGACTGATGGATATTAAATTATCTTGAACAAAAAAAGCCATCTGTTATGTCTCAGCATATGTTGTATTTGAAAGAAACACTAGTCTGACATCTGCAAGAGAAATAAAAAGTAATTGGAAATTTACTAGTTTATTTATATAATAAAAATGGAAGATTTTGCATAATTTTAAATACGATTGATCTTTCAAAATCCTGTGTACAATGTGCTTATGCCCCGCACTCAAATCTTCCTACTTGCAACCCCACCAAATTTCTGTCATATCTCTGTTGTTCCCAAGCCCTCTTTGGACTTTATTTCGCTGCTGTCTTGTATACTCCCTGCTTCCCATATACTCTAGATCAATTTGGTCTTCCTGAAGGTGGCTTGATCATCTTCTCACTGAATAAACTTGACCTATTCTATTAACTTCTGAAATCTTGACTTGTTTTTAACCCTTTTCTCTTATAGCGTCAAAAAACCATGGGTATCTAATAAGCAAACACAGAATATTATTTGTTAGATGAAAAAAGGCAAAAGGCTTGGTTATCTTTTGTTTCAGTCAGAGAAAAAACTATGTTTGGAGTCTGAAATTTGGTTTCTCTTAACTCAGTAGTTAATTACTGTGCATGTTGTTTCACTATTTTTCTTTTGTTTCCTTTAGATCTCACTGTTCTCATCTAAAAAATGGGACAGTGAGGCTGGGCGGGGTGGCTCACGCCTGTAATCCCAGCACTTTGGCATGCTGAAGTGGGTGAATCACGAGGTCAGGAGTTCGAGGCCAGCCTGGCCAACATGATTAAACCCTGTCTCTACTAAAAATACAAAAAATTAGCTGGATGTGGTTGGTGGTGGGCACCTGTAATCCCAGCTACTCGGGAGGCTGAGGCCAACCTGGCCAACATGATGAAACCCTGTCTCTACTAAAAATACAAAAAATTAGCTGGGCATGGTGGTAGGCGCCTGTAATCCCAGCTACTCGGGAGGCTGAGGCAGGAGCATGGCGTGAACCCAGGAGGCGGAGCTTGCAGATCGCACCACTGCAGTCCAGCCCGGGCAACAGTGTGAGACTCCGTCTCAAAAGAAAAAAAAGGACAGTCGGAAGTAAGGTTGGGAGTTCTCTACATTATGTCAAAAATCTCTTTCTAACTTTTACATTCTTTCTTGCAATAAAAGTGAATTGAAAGGTCCTAGGGGTTTATTTTGTCTTCTTTTGATGTCACTTTTCACAAGCAGAAGTCAGAAAACAACACTCTCCCCAGGAGGAAATTCATAACAAAGTGTTCTGAAATGAAGCTGGAATGTACACTTGCAGATGGTGGCTTTGACAGCATCCATCTCAATCCTAATTTGAAAGGGAGTTATTAGATATATAGTTCCCATGCTATTCAAACAAAGAAGTGTCTCCACTGCTCCCAGATCACTCCAGTCACCACCTTCAAAGACAGCAGATCACATGTTCTAGGAATGGTGATGATAACAGCACCCTACATCTCTGGGATGGAAAATAAGTACCAGTAATGTGAGAAGAACTTTGCAACACAGTTTCTAGTCTCTGGAAAATGCAGCTGGACAGAATTGAGACAAGTGTAAAGGCATTTCCTTCATAGTCAGAACTAGTTTTCTTCTTACCTTAGCTGGTTACTATCCATATATCCTCAGGCAAGTTACCACACTTCTCTGAGGGTAAATATGCTCTTCTGTAAAATGAGAACATGTTGCTTTCTTCACAGTACCTTATAAGGATTAGACAAGGTAACTTGGGTAAATATTCCAGTGCGATACCTGGCTTATCAGTAGATACTTGACAAATGTTCAACAGAGTGAAAGAAGGTTAAAGCAAATCTATTTCAGTCTCAGTTTCATATAGGTCTCAACATAATACCTTCCAAAAAGAGAAGCAAGAAGCACCTGCTGTATCTGCAAAAGGTGGCAGGAACCAGATTTGTGCTCTTGTCTCCAGAATGAGTTCATCAAACGTTTTCTGTAGAAGACCAGAGAGTAAACAGACTTTACGAACAATATAATCTCTGTTGCACCTGTTCACTTCTGCTGCCGCAGAGTTGAAGTAGTCACAGGCAATGTACGAATTAATGAATGTGGCTTTGTTGCAATAAAACTTTACTTATAAACATAGGGAGTGGGCAGGACTTGACTAGAATACGATCGTTCACTGACCCCTGCTCTAGACTATGAAAGAGGTTGGAGCAGATGGATAAAAATGTGAGAGATTAGCAGAAGATTGGGGATTAAAGGACTCATTTCTGGTGAGTCCCTGATTACCCTATCACCCCCTTCGCACACCAAGCACAGGGTAGCAGGTTGGAGAGCATCCTTTTTCATCTCAGATGAGAGAGGGTTTGAAGAGACCACTCAAAGAGGAGCCTTTGTGAACTTGTGTCTCACTCACACCTGAGACATTACCTGCTAGCCCATAGCTTGAAGGGAGAAGAAAGTAGCTGAATTGGGACTCACGTGAACTCAGCATTTCTAAAGACAAAGGATGCATTGTGGTCTTTTGCGGACCAATGTGGGCCTCACGTAAGAGAGTTGTCTTAGCTCTTGCTTGGGAAGGGTGAGTGAACTTGATTGAAAAAGGCCAGACCAAAAAGAAGAAGCTAAAAGAGGAGCCCTACATGATCAGCTGAACTAGAAATGCACTGTCTCACTGCAAGGGGGAGAGTCCAGCCATACAGATGTGCTAACATTATCTGCAGAAATTCACAGATGTTTTCTGAGAGGCAGGGTTAGACACTTGCCAGCCTCAAGGAGAACCTGTGTTCTCTCTCAACAGTTCTACTTAAGTAATATATTCTCCACCTCTTTTCTCCCTCCTTCTGCCCCATTCCTATTCTCTAGCCTGGAGGGGTCTGAATCAGGCTTAGGAAGATAGGATGAGATAGTAAAAGAGCAATTTAGAGGAAGAAAAACGAAGCCAACCATGCACCTCTCTTGGAGTTCAGGGAGCCAGACCCAGGAAAGAGAAGTAGCTGCAATATTGATTAAGTTTAAAGTCTTCGCCTGTAATCCCAGCACTTCTGGAGGCCGAAGCGGGCAGATCACTTGAGCTCAGGAATTTAAGATCAGTCTGGCCAACATGGTGAAACCCCATCTCTACTAAAAATACAAAAATTAGCTGAGAGTGGCACATGTCTGTAAGTCCAGCTACTCAGGTGGCTAAGGCAGGAGAATCGCTTGAACCCAGGAGACAGAGGTTGCGGTGAGCTGAGATCACACCACTGGACTCCAGCCTGGGCAACAGAGTGAAACTCCGTCTCACCAAAAAAAAAAAAAAAAAAAAAGTTTTGATTATTCCACTGGAACATCTAGACAAACTAATTCTTTCTTAATTTCCTATATACTACTTACTTATGCATGACCAGAAAAAGTACAAGACTTACCCTAAATGCAATCCAGGGGCAGAACATAACCATCACTGCAGAATAAATGTAAAGGGAAAACAGGAGATAAAAATAAAGTTACCTTATAAGTGTATCCCATGAGATATGCTTTTTCAAGGTAATGGATATAAATGTTAGTGTCCTCTTTATATCCAAGAACATGAACTTAGTTAAAACTGGGCCAGCAACTCTATATTCTATCATAGCTACTAAACTTTCCTTTACTGAAAGAAGCATTTCAATGCCCATCTTATTCCTCAAACATTGCTTGTCGATTATAAAACCAGATCAAACAGTTTGGGAATCTAAGCTATGGGATATAGACTAACACCTCACCTCAACACAGTACATTTCCGTGTTCTGGATACATAAATCTAGAAACGTACATTACGATGCGTTAGCATCTTAGAACTGCAGCATTCGTTATCTTAGAATAAAAGCAGCCCTGTTTCTTGAGATAGAGCTTATTAGAAACATAACCTCAAGATACCTTACAATCTAAGATAAAAAGCCTCTCAAGATCTTAACATCATAGAAGCTTAGAAAAGCAGTCTTATACTGAAAGAAACCTTACAATAATAAATAGAATCTTAGAAATTTAGAATTGTGGCTTCTTAGAATCATATCACTTAAAACCTTATAGGTTTCCTATAATCTTGGGATCATAGAATTGTTAAAGGTCAGAATCCAAGTGTGTTAGAAAACTGAAATAATAGCATTTTTGAGTCCTGCAATTGAATCTTGCTGGGATCTTAGGTATTATCTATTTCAACTTCTACACAATGTAAAGATCCCTTTATAAAGTGTTAGTAACAGCAGCAATATCAAAATTGTACAATAGATAATTCTTTGCTAGTGGGGAGCAGAAACAGGCACTCGCCTGTGCACTGCTGGATGTTTGTCACAATTTCCGACCTCTACTGAGTGGTTTCCACTAGCACCTCCTCAGTGATCAGCCATTGACAAATGTCCCAACCACTGTTTTATACATACTTGGTGTGTGGATTTCCCTGGGGGAGGAAATTATCTTTTTTTTTTTTTTTTGACTTTTTTTTTTTATTATTATACTTTAAGTTTTAGGGTACATGTGCACATTGTGCAGGTTAGTTACATATGTATACATGTGCCATGCTGGTGCGCTGAACCCACTAACTCATCATCTAGCATTAGGTATATCTCCTGATGCTATCCCTCCCCCCTCCCCCCACCCCACAACAGTCCCCAGAGTGTGATATTCCCCTTCCTGTGTCCATGTGATCTCATTGTTCAATTCCCACCTATGAGTGAGAATATGCGGTGTTTGGTTTTTTGTTCTTGCGATAGTTTACTGAGATTGATGATTTCCAATTTCATCCATGTCTGTACAAAGGACATGAACTCATCATTTTTTATGGCTGCATAGTATTCCATGGTGTATATGTGCCACATTTTCTTAATCCAGTCTATCATTGTTGGACATTTGGGTTGGTTCCAAGTCTTTGCTATTGTGAATAATGGCACAATAAACATACGTGTGCATGTGTCTTTATAGCAGCATGATTTATAGTCCTTTGGGTATATACCCAGTAATGGGATGGCTGGGTCAAATGGTATTTCTAGTTCTAGATCCCTGAGGAATCGCCACACTGACTTCCACAATGGTTGAACTAGTTTACAGTCCCACCAACAGTGTAAAAGTGTTCCTATTTCTCCACATCCTCTCCAGCACCTGTTGTTTCCTGACTTTTTAATGATTGCCATTCTAACTGGTGTGAGATGGTATGTCATTGTGGTTTTGATTTGCATTTCTCTGATGGCCAGTGATGATGAGCATTTTTTCATGTGTTTTTTGGCTGCATAGATGTCTTCTTTTGAGAAGTGTCTGTTCATGTCCTTCGCCCACTTTTTGATGGGGTTGTTTGTTTTTTTCTTGTAAATTTGTTTGAGTTCATTGTAGATTCTGGATATTAGCCCTTTGTCAGATGAGTAGGTTGCGAAAATTTTCTCCCATTTTGTAGGTTGTCTGTTCACTCTGATGGTAGTTTCTTTTGCTGTGCAGAAGCTCTTTAGTTTAATTAGATCCCATTTGTCAATTTTGGCTTTTGTTGCCATTGCTTTTGGTGTTTTAGACATGAAGTCCTTGCCCATGCCTATGTCCTGAATGGTAATGCCTAGGTTTTCTTCTAGGGTTTTTATGGTTTTAGGTCTAACGTTTAAGTCTTTAATCCATCTTGAATTGATTTTTGTATAAGGTGTAAGGAAGGGATCCAGTTTCAGCTTTCTACATATGGCTAGCCAGTTTTCCCAGCACCATTTATTAAATAGGGAATCCTTTCCCCATTGCTTGTTTTTCTCAGGTTTGTCAAAGATCAGATAGTTGTAGATATGCGGCGTTATTTCTGAGGGCTCTGTTCTGTTCCATTGATCTATATCTCTGTTTTGGTACCAGTACCATGCTGTTTTGGTTACTGTAGCCTTGTAGTATAGTTTGAAGTCAGGTAGTGTGATGCCTCCAGCTTTGTTCTTTTGGCTTAGGATTGCTTGGCGATGTGGGCTCTTTTTTGGTTCCATATGAACTTTAAAGTAGTTTTTTCCAATTCTGTGAAGAAAGTCATTGGTAGCTTGATGGGGATGGCATTGAATCTGTAAATTAGCTTGGGCAGTATGGCCATTTTCACGATATTGATTCTTCCTACCCATGAGCATGGAATGTTCTTCCATTTGTTTGTATCCTCTTTGATTTCCTTGAGCAGTGGTTTGTAGTTCTCCTTGAAGAGGTCCTTCACATCCCTTGTAAGTTGGATTCCTAGGTATTTTATTCTCTTTGAAGCAATTGTGAATGGGAGTTCACTCATGATTTGGCTCTCTGTCTGTTGTTGGTGTATAAGAATGCTTGTGATTTTTGTACATTGATTTTGTATCCTGAGACTTTGCTGAAGTTGCTTATCAGCTGAAGGAGATTTTGGGCTGAGACAATGGGGTTTTCTAGATATACAATCATGTCGTCTGCAAACAGGGACAATTTGACTTCCTCTTTTCCCAATTGAATACCCTTTATTTCTTTCTACTGCCTAATTGCCCTGGCCAGAACTTCCAACACTATGTTGAATAGGAGTGGTGAGAGAGGGCATCCCTGTCTTGTGCCAGTTTTCAAAGGGAATGCTTCCAGTTTTTGCCCATTCAGTATGATATTGGCTGTGGGTTTGTCATAGATAGCTCTTATTATTTTGAAATACGTCCCATCAATACCTAATTTATTGAGAGTTTTTAGCATGAAGGGTTGTTGAATTTTGTCAAAGGCTTTTTCTGCATCTATTGGGATAATCATGTGGTTTTTGTCTTTGGCTCTGTTTATATGCTGAATTACAGTTATTGATTTGCGTATATTGAACCAGCCTTGCATCCCAGGGATGAAGCCCACTTGATCATGGTGGATAAGCTTTTTGATGTGCTGCTGGATTCGTTTTGCCAGTATTTTATTGAGGATTTTTGCATCAATGTTCATCAAGGATATTGGTCTAAAATTCTCTCTTTTGATTGTGTCTCTGCCTGGCTTTGGTATCAGAATGATGCTGGCCTCATAAAATGAGTTAGGGAGGATTCCCTCTTTTCCTATTGATTGGAATAGTTTCAGAAGGAATGGTACCAATTCCTCCTTGTACCTCTGGTAGAATTCGGCTGTGAATCCATCTGGTCCTGGACTCTTTTTAGTTGGTAAGCTATTGATTATTGCCACAATTTCAGCTCCTGTTATTGGTCTATTCAGAGATTCAACTTCTCCTGGTTTAGTCTTGGGAGAGTGTATGTGTCCAGGAATTTATCCATTTCTTCTAGATTTTCTAGTTTATTTGCGTAGAGGTGTTTGTAGTATTCTCTGACGGTAGTTTGTATTACTGTGGTGATATCCCCTTTATCATTTTTTATTGCGTCTATTGGATTCTTCTCTCTTTTTTTCTTCTTTATTAGTCTTGCTAGCGGTCTATCAATTTTGTTGATCCTTTCAAAAAACCAGCTCCTGGATTCATTAATTTTTTGAAGGGTTTTTTGTGTCTCTATTTCCTTCAGTTCTGCTCTGATTTTAGTTATTTCTTGCCTTCTGCTAGCTTTTGAATGTGTTTGCTCTTGCTTTTCTAGTTCTTTTAATTGTGATGTTAGGGTGTCAATTTTGGATCTTTCCTGCTTTCTCTTGTGGGCATTTAGTGCTATAAATTTCCCTCTACACACTGCTTTGAATGCGTCCCAGAGATTCTGGTATGTTGTGTCTTTGTTCTCATTGGTTTCAAAGAACATCTTTATTTCTGCCTTCATTTCGTTATGTACCCAGTAGTCATTCAGGAGCAGGTTGTTCAGTTTCCATGTAGTTGAGCGGTTTTGAGTGAGATTCTTAATCCTGAGTTCTAGTTTGATTGCACTGTGGTCTGAGAGATAGTTTGTTGTAATCTCTGTTCTTTTACTTTTGCTGAGGAGAGCTTTACTTCCAACTGTGTGGTCAATTTTGGAATAGGTGTGGTGTGGTGCTGAAAAAAATGTATATTCTGTTGATTTGGGGTGGAGAGTTCTGTAGATGTCTATTAGGTCTGCTTGGTGCAGAGCTGAGTTCAATTGCTGGGTATCCTTGTTGACTTTCTGTCTCGTTGATCTGTCTAATGTTGATAGTGGGGTGTTAAAGTCTCCCATTATTAATGTGTGGGAGTCTAAGTCTCTTTGTAGGTCACTAAGCACTTGCTTTATGAATCTGGGTGCTCCTGTATTGGGTGCATATATATTTAGGATAGTTAGCTCTTCTTGTTGAATTGATCCCTTTACCATTATGTAATGGCCTTCTTTGTCTCTTTTGATCTTCGTTCATTTAAAGTCTGTTTTATCAGAGACTAGGATTGCAACCCCTGCCTTTTTTTGTTTTCCATTTGCTTGGTAGATCTTTCGCCATCCTTTTATTTTGAGCCTATGTGTGTCTCTGCATGTGAGATGGGTTTCCTGAATACAGCACACTGATGGGTCTTGACTCTTCATCCAATTTGCCAGTCTGTGTCTTTTAATTGGAGCATTTAGTCCATTTACATTTAAAGTTAATATTGTTATGTGTGAATTTGATCCTGTCATTATGATGGTAGCTGGTTATTTTGCTCGTTAGTTGATGCAGTTTCTTCCTAGTCTCGATGGTCTTTACATTTTGGCATGATTTTGCAGCAGCTGGTACCAGTTGTTCCTTTCAATGTTTAGTGCTTCCTTCAGGAGCTCTTGTAAGGCAGGCCTGGTGGTGACAAAATCTCTCAGCATTTGCTTGTCTGTAAAGTATTTTATTTCTCCTTCACTTATGAAGCTTAGTTTGGCTGGATATGAAATTCTGGGTTGAAAATTCTTTTCTTTAAGAATGTTGAATATTGGCCCCCACTCTCTTCTGGCTTGTAGGGTTTCTGCCGAGAGATCCGCTGTTAGTCTGATGGGCTTCCCTTTGAGGGTAACCCGACCTTTCTCTCTGGCTGCCCTTAACATTTTTTCCTTCATTTCAACTTTGGTGAATCTGACAATTATGTGTCTTAGAGTTGCTCTTCTCAAGGAGTATCTTCGTGGCGTTCTCTGTACTTCCTGAATCTGAATGTTGGCCTGCTTTGCTAGATTGGGGAAGTTCTCCTGGATAATATCCTGCAGAGTGTTTTCCAACTTGGTTCCATTCTCCCCATCACCTTCAGGTACACCAATCAGATGTAGATTTGGTCTTTTCACATAGTCCCATATTTCTTGGAGGCTTTGCTCATTTCTTTTTATTCTTTTTTCTCTAAACTTCCCTTCTCGCTTCATTTCATTCATTTCATCTTCCATCGCTGATACCCTTTCTTCCAGTTGATCGCATCGGCTCCTGAGGCTTCTGCATTCTTCACGTAGTTCTCAAGCCTTGGTTTTCTGCTCCATCAGCTCCTTTAAGCACTTCTCTGTATTGGTTATTCTAGTTATACATTCTTCTAAATTTTTTTCAAAGTTTTCAACTTCTTTGCCTTTGGTTTGAATGTCCTCCCATAGCTCAGAGTAATTTGATCATCTGAAGCCTTCTTCTCTCAGCTCATCAAAGTCATTCTCCATCCAGCTTTGTTCCATTGCTGGTGAGGAACTGCTTTCCTTTGGAGGAGGAGAGGCGCTCTGCTTTTTAGGGTTTCCAGTTTTTCTGTTCTGTTTTTTCCCCATCTTTGTGGTTTTATCTACTTTTGGTCTTTGATGATGGTGATGTACAGATGGGTTTTTGGTGTGGATGTCCTTTCTGTTTGTTAGTTTTCCTTCTAACAGAGAGGACCCTCAGCTGCAGGTCTGTTGGAGTACCCTGCCGTGTGAGGTGTCAGTCTGTCCCTGCTGGGGGGTGCCTCCCAGTTAGGCTGCTCGGGGGTCAGGGGTCAGGGACCCACTTGAGGAGGCAGTCAGCCTGTTCTCAGATCTCCAGCTGCATGCTGGGAGAACCACTGCTCTCTTCAAAGCTGTCAGACAGGGACATTTTAGTCTGCAGAGGTTACTGCTATCGTTTTGTTTGTCTGTACCCTGCCCCCAGAGGTGGAGCCTATAGAGGCAGGCAGGCCTCCTTGAGCTGTGGTGGGCTCCACCCAGTTGGAGCTTCCCGGCTGCTTTGTTTACCTAAGCAAGCCTGGGCAATGGCGGGCGCCCCACCCCCGGCCTGGCTGCTGCCTTGCAGTTTGATCTCAGACTGCTGTGCTAGCAATCAGCAAGACTCCGTGGGCGTAGGACCCTCCGACCCAGGTGCCGGATAGAATCTCGTGGTGCGCCGTTTTTTAAGCCCATCGGAAAAGCGCAGTATTTGGGTGGGAGTGACCCAATTTTCCAGGTGCTGTCTGTCACCCCTTTCTTTGACTCAGAAAGGGAACTCCCTGACCCCTTGTGCTTCCCAAGTGAGGCAATGCCTCGCCCTGCTTCGGCTCACACACTGTGCGCGCAGCCACTGACCTGCACCCACTGTCTCGCACTCCCTAGTGAGATGAACCCGGTACCTCAGATGGAAATGCAGAAATCACCCATCTTCTGAGTCGCTTAGGCTCAGAGCTGTAGACCGGAGCTGTTCCTATTCAGCCATCTTGGCTCCTCCCCCCAAGGAAATTATCTTCTAAGATTTTTTTCAACATTTAAAATTGAGTGTATACTATGTGCTAGATCTGGTCTCATGTGAATCTCTCAGTTATTATCTTTACATTTTACAAAAGAGAAAGTGGAGGTTTAGAAAAGTTCACTTATTGGGTCAGGGCTACACAATTGATAGGGGGTTGGAGAAGAATTTAAAGCTATAATATTTGACTATCCCATATCTTTAAAAGCTGAAACTGTCCCGACTTTACTGTTTGGACAGCATTTGCTGTAAGAACTCACTTCTTTTGTTGAGTCAGATCCTACTTTTTTTCTCCAGTCTATATTCAAAATGTCATTATCATATGGTTATGGATTTATGACTAAAAGGCTATATATGAAGTTAGTTTCTAGAATCAGACTCTCTGGAGTCTAATTCCAATTCATGACATATCATTGCGACCTTGGATAAGTTCTTCACTATTTTTTGCCTCACTTTCTTCAACTGGTATCTAGGTAATTTACTGTTGTGTGTCTAGAGACTCCCCGAAAATTTAATGTCTTAAATTAACATCTATTTTTATATATCTCATAATTTTCCAGGTGAGAATCTGGGCAGAGATTGGTTGAGCTGTTGTTTTTCTCCCCAGTGTTGACAGATGTCACTTGATGGTATTCCGTTGGTAGGTGGCTGGTCTAGGGTATCCAGGAAAGGCTTCTCTCATGTCTGGCACCTTGGCAGTGATGATTGGGAGACTGGCTTCATATGCAACTATTGACCAAAGGGCAGGCAGGGCCTCTACAGGTAGAGTGCTAGAAATTCTTACATGATGGTTCTAGGATCCCAAAGTGAGATTTCCAGTAATGAAGGTGATTGTTACATGGCCTTTGATGACCAAGCTTCTGGAGTCAGAGTGTCTTTTCTATTGTTTTCTATTGGCCAGCAGTCATAGCCTGCCCAGATATAAGGGAAGAGGGCATAGACGTCACCTTATCATGGAAGAAATATCTAAGAATTCACAGTCATATTTTAAAACCACTGCACCTATAAAATAAGACAATAATAATTCTTACCTCACTGAGTTTTAAGTCTTAAAAAAAAGCTACACTTGTTAAAAGCTTATGACACAGCTTAGCATGTAATGACTGATCTGAAATACTTGAGCTGTTTTTATTTACAGGTGGGCTGAAATTCACAGGAATATCTCTGCAATTGAAAACTTACAGAGTCCTTCTTGCCTTCTCAGAGCAGTGGAAACATTAAGGGTTGGGTGGAAGCCAGGGTGCTTGAGGACACGGAGTTAATTTAGACACAGCTCCCACGAGAGGGGCTGTGAGATTAAAAAAATAATCCATTTTAGAGTATACAAGAGCTGCTTCCATAAGTGATCAAGGCAGAAGGGCTGCCCTGGATTTATTCATGTCTGTATTGGAAGTGATGGCACGTGTGTGCTCCCCTTATGTAGCTACTGTGCTGGGCACACGTACCAAATATACTTAGGAGGGAAAATAATAAATCATTAACAACTATGAGCTTCTCCTTGAATGGAATCATGAGGGGGGAGGATCCCCCAAGCAATTCAAACTCAATTACTCTGTTCACAGAGTGTTTGAAATAGAAACAAATGAAGAAGGCAATTGCAGAGGCAGGCAGTATTCATCAGTGCAGCTGGATGCATTTTGTCCTGGGCCACTGGTTAGATTTTGTAAAATAAAAACAGGAGTAAAAATAATAAGAGTGACCCCTCACATTTGCAGAGCATACCAGAATTAGCAAAGTCACCTGCTAGTCGTCATCCCCTTGAGTTGTCCTGTAAAGCGCAAATGGTTAATAAATTGTCCAGTGGAGTGACTGGATTTTAGACACATCGATGGTCTTCCCCACTGTTACAGACTATCAGCTGTCAGGCCTAGAGCCCAGTCTTTTGGGTCCTTGCTTAGGCTTATTCCAGTTTATTACCAGTGCTCCTATCTAGTAAAGGTCTATTTAGTATAAAATTAGGAAATGGTTCAGCTTTTGTTCTTTCTCTTACAGAAGAGAACAATCCAATAATGAGAACATCCTTGAGGATCACAGAGTCCAGAGTCCCTAGAGAGAGGGAGAGCAATCATGTCTTCTAGACGGCAAGTTACTTACACATATGTCTAGGTAAGGCCATATGTGTAGAACGGGTGAGGTGTTTCTTCTGCCATAGACTCTCTCTTGTCTTCCATCTAAGTGTCCTCTGTTCTGCTAGCTTTTTCAATGTCTGAGTCTGGATGAAGGTGACTCACCTGCATGACAGTGGCTCATGAATTACTGGAGCCCATGGCATCCACCATAGTGACTTTGTTAGTTTGTTTGGGCTTTCATAACAAGCACAGACTGGGTGACTTACACAACAGAACATTATTTTCTCACAATTCTGGAGGATGGAAGTCTGAGATTAATGTGTAAGCAGGGTTGATTTCTTCTAAGGACCCAGTCTTTGGCTTGCAAGTGTCTACTATACCCCACTGTGTCTTCATATGGTCTTCCCTCTCTTCATATCTGTGTCCTAATCTCCTCTTCATATTTGGACACTAGTCATGTTGGATTAGGGCCCACCCTATGACCTCATTTTAACTTCATTACCTATCTAAAAACTCTGTCTCCAAATGCAGTCACATTCTCAGGTACTAGGGGTTAGACTTCAACATATAAATCTTGAGAGGGACACAATTAGCCTATAACAGTGATCTTTAGAGTAGATTCACCTGCCTGTCTCCATCACACTGAGCATGTTAATTCACATGTTAGGTATTAGCATTAAAGTGTGCCAGGCTCTGTGCCAATTAGGCCTGTAGTGTAGAGCAGAATGCAATGCAACCACAAGCCCAAACTCACAGAGTGAAAGAGGAGCACCTCTCTTATAGTTTGTCAAGTAGCTTTTAGCTGCATTGCAATTCCTACCTTAAAGGTTTGTTGTGAATATTAAAAAGTTTACACACGTAGAATACTTAGAATAAGTGTAGGCAAACAGAAAAGGTCTATTCAGTGTAAAATTAGGAAATGGCTCAGCTTTTGTTCTTTTTTTTACAGAGAAGAACAATCCAATAATGAGAGCATCCTTGAGGATCACAGAGTCCAGAGTCCCAGAGAGAGACAACAATCATGTCTTGTAGATAGCGAGTTAAGAGACATCAGTCGCAACTACTTCAGGCTGACTTGTGATCAGAGACCACCCAAAATGACAGCACGTAGAAAGTCCTGTGTGGCCCTGATTGCACCTATAGGACCAGGTGTTAGAGAAATAGCTGGCTTCTATCCAAGTTAAGTTCAAGTCTGTAGGACAAGGCATTAGAAAAATCATTGGTCTGTATTTGAGTTAAACTCAAGTCTGCAGGAGGGCTTCCTTTTGATGCTCTTTGCCCTCAAGGATAAGAAATGGAAGGTATGAACTGTGGGCCTTATATGGGACTATACTTAGAAGGCACTCGGGAAACAGTCAGTGAAGGCAGAAAAGAAGGGGGACTTGTGAAACCAAATCAAAGATAATTTCTCCATGTTTTGGCTTGGCTGATTTGGTATTACTTAGGTGACAAGAGTAGAGAAGGGAAATCAAAGAGTAGAAAGGGTAATCAAAAGTGATATTCAGATCCTTGAGATATCCATTAGGCATCTACATAGAGATGACTTACGGGCAGTTGTGCACATAAATCTGGACTTCTAGAGAGAGGTCAGAGCTGGAAGCTCTGGGTTAGGAAAATAAGCATGCCAATGTCATTTAAAGCCCAAGGGCTCGCAAGGTTAGCTAAGGAGAGTATTCTGAGAGAGAGGAAAGGGGGCTAGATCAATCTTGGTCCTATGCTGGTATTCTTACAGTTAGGGCTTTAATGGAGAAAGAACCAGAGAAGATGCTGAGAAAAAGTCACCAAGAATCTGGTGTGTAAAAAGGATAGGGTGGTGTACTGGAAGTCAACAACAACAACAAAAGTGTTTTGAGGCAGAGGGGGTATTTATTACATTTAATGTGGCTGTAATGCCATTAAATAAAAGAGCAGAAAAGCAACCATTGAATTTGGCAAAATGGAGGGAATTATGTCCTTGGTAAGAACATATTTAGTAGAGAGGTAGAGGGAAAAACCTAATGGAAGTTAATTGAAAGTAGAATGTGAGATCAGCAAGTGGAAAAAGGGACTATGGTCAACTGTTTTAATAATGTTTTCAATGAATGGGACTCAAATTTTGAATGACCATGAACTTTGCTGTTAGTAGCATCTTACTGACATCTTAGAGATTTGCTGCCAGAGGGGAACAGAACCAAAACGTAGTAAATTTTCTCAGTTCCAGTTAAAAAAAAAAAAAAGTTGGGATACCATCTTGGGTCAATTAATCATAATCAAGCACTCCAAAAGAATCTGGAAGCTTCCAGATAAATCTAAGGCTGGGATGGAAGAAAGAGCATTTCTCAGATGCGGACTGACATGAGGGGAAGGGATGTTTTTGGGTAGAGGAGGAGTGGTGCTGGATAAATAAAGCAGAATATAAGGACCAGATAATTGGTTCACTAAATGTACGTGACAACTATGTGAGGCAGATAGGGGAGTATTTCACAGTTTATGCAGGAAGAGACAGGCTCCTGCAGCTCCCCAGTGCAGAGTATAAATTCATACCCAGATGTAAAGGGCTTCCAAGAGCTTATACTCATTTCAAATAGTTATATAATGTCATGCATTGAAAGTCAATGCTATATTTAAACAGCCGTAGAAACAGAAGAAGTGGATCTTTAGGAGTTAAGCAGTTGTTTTCTGGAAACTCTCCTGTGCCCTATCAATGATGCCACATGGGTGCTATTTACTTTGCCCACCCATGAAGACCACCTGAGGGTCAGGAATAGGTGACATTCTTTTCTAGGGATCTCAGCAGAGTTCTCTTCATGTATGCTCTGCTAAAATTGTTAAACCATGAAAAGTACTTTTTTGCATAAATAAGCTTTTAAAATCCTATTTTGCTGTGTTTCTCTTCTATTAATTTAAGCAAGCAGCTCAAGATCTCATGAACTCAAGATAGTACATCTTCTTTACTTGGTCATGTCTAGACTCATTTATATGCTTTGAGAGGAAAAAGTGAAAAGCAAATAATCACTCTTGGTTCTGATTCATTATTAAGTGTCTGTGAATGTGTGTGTGTGTCTTTTTCTCAGGCAACAATATGATAATGCCATATTTTATATAAGAGAATAAGCCTATGGTCATAGAAGTATTATTTAAAGAAAAACACACAGTAACAAAAGTGATTTGGGGTTATCTGGAGCTACATTTTATTTTGTATGTGATATAATTATATGTGGACTTGATTTTGATAATCTAGACTCTCCTGTCTATAAAACTGCTGAAATGTCAGGCCCTATTTTGTATTTGCCTTGTCCTGGTAGTTTAAGATAGTGCTGATTTCTAAGGGTAGCTTGTGGAAGTGAAGAAATTATGAGAGTATCAGATTTGTTGCTTAGTGTATGCTCAGCCTCTTAGATTACACATTGAGCTAATCATTATAATTTGTTGTGAGAAAATAAATATTTTTCAACTCCAGTCTGATTCTTGAATAATAGGATTGGGCAGATCAAGGCTGGGCCTTTACAGTGACCTGCTGTACATGTGTGTGGTTAATCTACAGTCAGCATCACATGAAGGCAGTCTAGTGTAGCAAAAGGAAATGGAGTTTGGATTCCAACAGTTTGGAGTCAATTGAGTTACTTCTGCATCTTACTACTTCTTTGATTTGTGGTATATTATGGCTTCTTTGGGTCAAGTTTTCTGATTCTTAAAGCTGCAATGATAATATGTAGGTTTAAGGATTTTCATGAACTTTCAGAAAATTATGGTAAATAGCAGTGCCAGTTCAGCATATGGGAGACCCCTGGAAGGATGTTTCTTTCTTACTATGCTGGCTTTTTTATTTTCTGTCTGCTTATGTCAAATGGTGATCATAGAAGCATGAACACCAGTGGAATTATGGTCATCCTCGTAAACAGAGCTTTAAGAAATCAGTAAAGATTGACATTACGAGTACACAGCTCTTCTTGTTCAACTTTCCAAAGGATAAAAAATTGTCAGCCGGGCGTGGTGGCTCATGCCTGTAATCCCAGCACTTTGAGAGGCTGAGGTGGGTGGATCATGAGGTCAAGAGATGGAAACCATCCTGGTCAACATGGTGAAACCCCAACTCTACTAAAAATACAAAAATTAGCTGGACCTGGTGGCACGCACCTGTAGTCCCAGCTACTCAGGAGGCTGAGGCAGGATAATTGCTTGAACCTGGGAGGCAGATGTTCAGTGTGCGGAGATCCCTCCACTGCACTCCAGCCTGGGCTACAGAGCGAGACTGTCACGAAAAAAAAACTGTCAAAATTGTACTAAAACAAACAAAAATATATGATCTGTATTTTACCGTGTATCATGTCATAATAGCAGCACAATATAAACATCAGTATTTTTTTAATTATGAATAATTAATGGCTGCCCTGACCAAAAAGAGTATGGTCTCTTCATACATTGTCTTCATGCTGTATCTAAGGGATAGTGAGTATTCCCTGTTATGCTCTATATTTGGCTATACTGATATCATGAGATTTCACAATTTCTGCCCTGAATGTGAATGGCTTATAAAATTAATAAAAACAGACCAAAAATAGCATTATTTGTAAAATGTCTATGGATTTTCTGAGAACTAGCTTATATTTTATTACAGTTGATGCTCCCGGTAATTTTATAGAAGGGCATTAGTATACCCATGCTATTTTAATAGATGAGGAAGCTGAGGCCTGAGGAGTTTAACCAAGGCAAGGAGCACCAGTGATATTTGAACAAGGACATTTGTCCTTCAGCCCAGCTCAGAGCTTATATTGAAAATAGCTAATTATTGTTTCAAGTCAGTTATTCTGGGTCAGTATTTTGTTTGACACATAGGATATATTTGACACATAGGATATATTCAGCAAAATGATGTGGAGCGTTGCCTTAAAAATGAAAGTGTATGTAAATGGGAAGGGGGTATGGAGAGATAAACCTGAGATTCAAATTCAACTTGGATTTATTAATGGCTACTTTGTACTAGCCATTCTCAGTGATCTTCTTCTGAAATATGATTGAATTGTCTCAACATACTCATTTTCAGTTAAGGAAACCAAATTTTAGAGATATAAAATAACTTGATTAAGGACACACATCCAGCAGATATGGGAGCTAGAATTTGAATGCAGCTTTCCTTAATACAAGCCCAGTGCTATCTGTATTGTTTCCAATGTGTAGTTCATGAATACAAAGGCATTTCATCAGGCCTATAGAAATTCACAAAAAAAAACTTATTTCAGAATTTTCTAAGTGTAAGGTATGAAGTGTGTGTGTAATAGAATTCTCTTGCTTATTTGTAATTGTGCACCTATGAAAATCCTTATAATCACAACATATATAAAAATCAAGTGGTATTTTATGGATAAGCAGCCAGAAACTGTGACTCTTCATGTTAAGACAGAACAAAGATCTGAACTGACAGTTTTCAAGACCAGTTTAAAAGTCAGACACACGCGTAAATGAAGGGTCTTTTTGTATCTCCTTGTTGGTACTAACAAGAATACACCAGTCCACGTCACCACATTGCCATTTGTCGTGCACCTGGCAAGCTAAGAACTGAGCAGAAGCTGATCAGAAAACTTTTTATGAGAAAACCCATCCTGAGAATGAGCTAAATGATGGGAATTTATTTTTAAAGTGTGAGTCAGTGCTTTGAGAGCCAGTATGAAATGCCTAATGCATGGGAGATCCATAATACTGGGAATTCATTAAATGTTGATGAATTGAATGAAATGGAAAATTCCTTGGATTGCTTCATTGTATTCATGATTCTGGTAATCCTAGAACTACATGAACTATTTCTCTTGTATTTTGGACCCATTTGGAAGTCACCCAGAAAGGCTTCCTGAATTTTATTTTTTTATTTTTTTATTTTTTTTAGACAGAGTCGAGCTGGAGTGCAATGGCAGGATCTCAGCTGACTGCAACCTCCGCCTCCCGGGTTCAAGCAATTTTCCTGCCTCAGCCTCCTGAGTAGCTGTGATTACAGACACCCATCACCACACGGTGTAAATTGTTGTAATTTTAGTAGAGATGGGGTCTCACCATGTTGCCCAGGCTGGCCTTTAACCCTTGACCTTAGGTTTACAGAGCCTTAGCCTCCCAAAGTGCTGGGATTACAGGAGTAAGCCGTTGCGCCTGGCCCTGAAATGTGTTTTATGAGGATCAGGGGTTTAGGATTCCTGTCATTGATCTATACCAGCTCAATAACATTGGGTAAAACATCTAACCCTTCTAAGCCCACCTGTTTTTGTGTCCTCAGATATAAATCTATTTTCAAATGGAGATTATAGAAATCACCCCTTCATTTTATAAGTGAAACACATGAAGCCCACAGAGCTTGCTTAATGTCACAGTAGTCTTTACTGTGCTTTACAGTAGTTGAGATAATGGAATTTTAAAATAACAATGAAAATGAATAACATTGTTACCAGGTATATGGCCTTGAGCAATTCATTTAACTCTTTTGGCCTCAGTTTTTTCGTCTGTATAATTGAGGGTGTTGATAGTATCAATCACGGAAGTTAGGATGAGATAAAATAACCTTAAAACATTTAGCACAATGTCTGGTATGTGAGAGCACCCAATTTCCTCTTTTTTCTTTTCTTTTCTTTCTTGTCTTTCTTTCTTTCTTTCTTTCTTTCTTTCTTTCTTTCTTTCTTTCTTTCTTTCTTTCTTTCTTTCTTTCTTTCTTTCATGTCACCTCCTCTCTGCTAGGCTCTGTGCTAGTGAGAGGTATATGACTGTGACAACTACAGATCAGCTCTCAGTCTCATAAATAATGCAACCCAGCAAGGAACACATACATGATAAAAACACATATTATTTTTAAAATAGTCCTTGTGATAATTGCTATGAAAAAAACAACATGAAAATATAATACCAATTGAAAGAAGAATAGGATCCAGAAAAGCATCTTAAGGAAAAGTCATCTTTAGCAGAAACCTGAAGAACACCTAAATTGAGAAGATGTCATAAGAAATCTAAGTGTCAAAAAAACAACAACACGTAAATTCAGGTAAAGAGTGGGCAATTAATGTTAAGTAGAAGAAACAGAAGCCGTCATTCTCAGCAAACTAACACAGGAACAGAAAACCAAATACCACATATTCGACTCATAAGTGGGAGTTGAACAATGAGAACACATGGACACAGGGAGGAGAACATCGCATACCAGGGCCTGTTGTGGGGGTCGGGGGCAAGGGGAGGAATAGCATTAGGACAAATACCTAATGTATGGAGGGCTTAATACCTAGATGAAGGCTGAGAGGTGCAGCAAACCACCACGGCATATATATACCTATGTAACAAACCTGCATATTCTTCACATGTATTCTGGAACTTAAACAAGAAAAAAAAACACAAAAAATAGCATGTGCTAAAATATGCAAGCATAAAGACCTAAGAGACAGTCACAAGTCCCTCTGTGATGGTCTCCATGCCTGCGTTCCAAGCATATCTCCCATTGTTTCCCCATGAACTCTTCACTCCAGCCGTACAAAACTACCATAGCTCCTCTGCCACAGTATCTGGGGTACTTCCCCTCTCTTCTCCAACATCTTATTCCCAGTTTCCTTTCAAGATCAGCTGAAACACCTCTCCTGGAAAGCTTGCCTTAATGCCACTGACTTGAAGATGCACTTTCTGTGACTGCTCATACAGTCAGCATCGCAGAACATACCAGGCTTTATCATAATGGTTTATCCATATGTTCCGTCGCTTTATGTATTATGAGCTTCTTAAAATGAGTATTCATAATGCAACCCCCATATGACTCTACAAGGGCATATGTGTGTGTATCTTTGTGCAGAGTACATGTTGAATAATGCATGAACACTATAAAATATATAAGATTGTTATTCTCATGAAAATTATTAAGAATTAGTAATAGTTGCAAAAGGACTCTGAGAAAGCTTCAAAAAATATCTTCTTTACAATTTTTTTGACAGAGTTGGTCAAAAATGCCATCAATGGTTTATGTTCCACTTCCATAGTCTCATAATTTTTGCTGGCAGCAGATACCCAGCCAGGATATACAAGTTCCGCACCAGTTTATATCTAGGTGGGGTCCTATTACTAAGAAGGTCCTATGACCAAGAGAAGGTAGGAAAAAGTCATATGAGCCACTTCCAGGCTAAACCACTTTCTGTGGCATTCTTCACATACTGTCTCTCCCAACCTGACTACTAGATTCCCAGAGTGTCCATGGAAGCCATGTGGTCAATGAAGATGGGAAAGTCTTTGTTATCTACTTCCATAATTGATTGGATTGGAAGGAATTCCTTCATCTACTCATCCAATGACTGGACATTATTTAAGCGAGAAATACCTTGTACTTATGGCAAATTACTGCAAATTTGAGGTTTTCCGTTTTAGCAGTAGAGGTTCCGTAACGAATACGCTTTGTATCAAGTGTTTTCTATGTGCCAGTCTCTGTGCTAATATTAAAGATACTCAAGTAAAGCAGTCTTTAAGCTTTGAAAAAGCAGAGATATAACTGACAACATTGTGAAGTGGAACTGACCACCATGATGATCTGCAAACGTGAGGCTTTCAGAGCTGAGAATATGGGGCTGTCATTTCCTGTATTTTGTAAATGATGAACTTGTTTCTTTTCACGATAAGCGTGCTTCTTTAGATATGCCATAGGTGGGGCTGCAACATAACAATAATGGCTGTCTCCAAATCTGGCAGGTCATCGGAATCTCCTGAAAAGACCTTTCCTTTATTTTTTTAAGTGAATATTTTTTGGATCTATTTTGCATAAGTATTGTTCTCTAAGTATGAGTTGGGACCAAGTATGTTTGTGGACACCATCCATGTGGATGATTGGCTAAGTTTGGGAACTACTTATTCAGGTGACCTTTAAAATGTATCCTAAATATGCAATCCCAAATGGCTATTCGTCAGCTTCCTCCATCTTCAAGCTGCCACTAAGCCCACCCCCTTCTCACTTTTAGAGATAACCTTGCCTTTTACTTCATGGAGAAAATTGGAGCCATCTAAAAATAATGATTCTATCTTTTCCCTACCAAGCGTCTAGCTTGTACCTATATACTCTGCTCTCACTCCTGTTACAAGGTTGAACTGTTCCTACATTGTTGACTTTTCCTACTCAAACAAACACTGTGTGTGTGTGTGTGTATATATACACATATATACATGCATATACATATATATGTGTGTATATATACATATATACATATATGTTGTGCATGTACATATATACATATATGTGTGTATGTACATATATACATATATGTGTGTATATACATATATACATATATATATATAAAATCCCCTCTTCTAAAATAATACATTTTTTTTATATTGGATCAATTCTGCTTGCCTACAAAAATCTGTGATAGTTTTGTCTTTTACAAAATAAACCTAGCTAATTCCCTTCTCTACTCATTTCAAGTTTTCTTTTATAACAAAGCTACGGAAAATGTCCTAAATATTTGATTACTCTATACCTTCTGTCCTTTTTTTTTTAACTCTTCACATTCAGGCTTTTATATCATAGTTTCTTTGTTTCTGCTCTTGGCATGATCTCTAAAGACCTCAATGCTATGAATTCCCTGCTTCTCCATCCTCTGATGATCAGGTATCTCAGCAGCATTTGACATTGCAGATCTCCTTCTATTTGAAATATTTTTTCTACTTGGGTTCTGGGATGCCACACCTTCGGGATCTCCTCCCATTTTATTGCCCAGTCCTGCTTACCCCTGCTCATCTTTCTTACCTTGTCTCTCATTACATGATTCCACATACACTGCACAGCAGCTCCACCAGATGACATAACCATTTTCTAACACTCTTTGTTCTATAGTCAGCCCAAATGCTCATCTGTTTTTCTCAAGCCCAAAAGGGCCTTCCCTATGAGACAGACATTCACATTCTTTGCAATAGGTCTATAAGGATGGAAATTGCTTGATTATAGACCAACGTGGGGAGTTGGGGAAGATATAACAATTCCTCCTCAAACATTGATGCATTGGCTCTCTGAAGCAAGTCTTCCAATGTTCTCGTTATCATTGTCTTTCTCTATAAAAGAAAATGCTTATAGCAAAGCTTTCTGTGTATTTGGCATGTGCAGTGCAGGTAGGCTATTCTTCTCCTTTCCACATGCCTATTTTTATTTTAGGTAGGAGTGATGGAACTTTTTTTGGGAATGGGCAGAATGTAACAGAAAGTAACAGAAAACTCAACTCGTTTCCACAACTGGGATTAAGACATACTGAGTCTACCTGGCAGACTTCGAGTGAATGGAAAATCCTGAGAAACAATTTAGTCTAAGGAGTGCTAAAATGTTCAGATTTCCAAGAGACACCAGAGATCTGGAGGAGAAAACCAGTGCCAGGGACAAAGTGAGGCTGATGCCTGAGTCTTTTCCAAGCTAGAAACTAAAGAAGCTGATGATTGTCCCTGAGGATAAATAAAGACTAATATGTAACTTAAACAAATCCACTTTTTTATTCTTTCAACACATGTATATTAAGAACTTAGTATTGGAATGTGCAATTCTGGCCCTTGAAATACGCCAAGAAATAAAAGGAATTCTTGCTGTCATGCTGCTTATGTTCTAGCAAAGGAAGACAGAAAACAAATAATATATTTAACATTAGATGTATTACTTGCTAGATGGTGATAAATGATGTGAAAAAGAAAAATTATAATAGCATAAAGGGCATGGAGGCAGACTGCAATTTCAAAAAGGATAATCAGGGTGAGATAATAATCTTTGAACTATTACCTCATCATCTAGAGCTATGGAAAACCAGCAAATATTTTTGCACAAGTACTCACTTCTTCATATAGGCATTAAAAGGTAATCAAATAGCTCTTTGCAACGTTCCAAGACAAAGATGTTCTATTGAAGATATATACCTAAACTTAGTGATAGCTTGAAAAGCAAGCAAGCATGCTATGGAACCAGTTGAAAAGAATTTGGCTCAGAGGAATGGGAGCTTTCCTTTTCCTTGTAGTGTTTTATTTATTTGTTGTGACACTTGAGGTGTGAACACATCTGTGGTCTAAATTATCAGCTGTGAAGTAATGGGAGGTCTTAGATTGATATGGGTAGTTGAATAGACACAATTCCAGCTTTGAGTTCAGCAATTTCAACCCTGGCTTAGATAAGAGTTTACTCAGGAAAACAATTGGGGTAGAAATAGCAAACCCTAGACTTGGCAGATCCTCAGAAAATGACAATACCAGTGTTATTGAGAATCAACAGGGAATGGGGCATATACGTTTTTGATTCACTAAAGAATATAAAGCATGGGAAAGAATAGATTCATGAGAACTTTGTGAGATGCTTAGAAATACTTTGAGAGCCATGGTGTTTGACTATGAATAGTGTGAACTTGACCTGGCTATAATTGAGTTAATTAGAATATAACATAATTTGTTCTCAGTGTCAAGTGTAGTTTAGTGATACCTTATTTACAGATACATAGGCACACTCATAAATCTGGAAGTGATATGCTTCAAGTTCTGGGTTTAAATGCCTGCAAAGAATTCTTAGTGACGTATTTATCGTTAAGTATCTTCTACATTCCATTTATTAAGCAAACTGAGGTTTAATAAATGTTTATCATCTTTGATTTTCCAATATTCAATATTCTTCTAGTATCACCTTGGTTTGCTTTTGAAAACTAGCGTTTCTTACATTGTGTGTAATCTTGGTGGGAGAAAATGCCTATCTCCTACTGCCAACGTTTATGAGAGCCAACCCCCTTCTCCTTGCACCAGATGAAACCTGAATTGTGCTGTAATGGTGACCCAGTGACATCCAAAATGTCATTCTCTCCAGAGTGTTAGAAATCTAAGCCATTGATGGAAGGACATGAAAAACAAATATAGTAAATGCGACAATGTAGACACTTCCTGCTTTACAATCAACTCTGTGTTTCTTAAGACCTCACCATCTCTATGACTTTATTCCTCTATGTTCCCAACAGCCTGGGGAGATAACTGACATACTGCTTACAAGGGGCTTATGGGCTCTTGTTTTGTATAAATATTTTTCATCATCTGGTATCTTATTCTTAAAATATATATTCAATAATCATTTTAAGGACCTACTTGGTCAGTAAGTCCCTATTTAGTGTCAAGCAATGTCCAGGTAACTTAGGTCACATTAAACTGCTTAAGGAATTAGACCCACTCTCAGGAAGCTTACAGTCTATTTCTAGGGATTATACATTTGCAAAAGCAACAATTGTTAACAGTCACATATTAAACAAGAGGTGGTCAGGAAGAGAGTACTATGAAAAACCATAGATATAAAAACTATTAAAGTATGAGGATCAGGGAAAACTTTGTTGCAGAATTTTGAGATACTTTTGGAATGGTTTAGTCCTATGGCAATGGGAGAGGAAGCACCAGTAAGAACAATAAAATCAGCCAATGCTTTATTCACATATGTGCCTGCCACTTTATTATTGGCATTGCACTCTGCACACACTGACTTTTTTTTTCAACCCAGCAGTGAGAAAATATTTCCTATCACTTTAAATAAATTAAAATATAATCTCTAAAGCTACAATGTTGTCCCTTAGTGTAAGACATACAGCAATACTTTGAATATGAACTCAAAAATAACATGTTATAACTCTTTCAAAGGTAGAAATTCAGACAAAAATAAGTACTTAATGGAGACAATCTAGAAAATGGAGACAATCTGACTGTCTACAGAGAAGGGTTTTTTGTAAATGAATAATGGAGAAACAGAACTGGCGACTTGGAAGGATTCTAGGGCCTAACATTTATTGGAATGATATTATGGGAAACATTGCATTAAGTTCCCTTTAAAACCTGAAGATGAATCTGCTCTTGCAATGAATACCACTTTTTTCCTCTCTTTTTGGAGAAAACAAGAGCAATTAATATTCTCTGATGATGGGCTATTTTTCTAACATAAGTCACATTAAGATATATGTGCCATTGCTGAGAAGACAAATTATACACTTTGCAATAAGGGAAGATAACAGGTAAAGCTTGCAACATGCCAATGAAAACCCTCTCTATTTCAGAAAAAATTTGTTCAGTTTAATTAGAGAATATAGTGAAATATGTATCTTAGTGTTCAAATAAGCTCAAAAGTTATGAATGGAGGTTTTGTGGCACACAATTTCTGCTCCATATGGGAAAATAAATAAATTAGAACATTTTACTTTTTGGAAGCCTTTGTGTGTTTGAATCCTTGGATTTGGGCTGAGAATTATAGGCGAACTCTTAAGTATTCACCCATTTTAAAAAGTAGGTTAGACCATGTGAGGATGCAGGATTCTACCCATGTTTGAAATAATTTCCTCCTTGCCAAAGTAATAAAATAAATGCAGGAAATAGCTGAGTACTGCTTAACAGAACTATGCATATATAAAAGGAACAGTAAAAGCCTTTTGACAGCTTCCTATATCTTTGCATCCCATAACTCACTCTTAATTGCATTTAAAATAATAAAAATGAAGCCTTATCCAGATAAAGAAGTCATGTCTACTTTTGCAAAGATTCTGTAGTTGGTGAATCTTATGTCAAGGGAGTGGGAGCGAGTTCTGTGGAATTGTATATATTCTTCTTTAATGTCTATGGCGGTTTATATTCAGTAAAGTTCTACAGGTAGGTCCAGAATGACTCAGGAGGTTGTGAACAGCACATCACCTGTGCAGAATAAGCTCAAAGTGTCCTTCCAAGAAGTCAATCATTCATGAATACACTCCAAGGCAGCGTGTCCCCTGAGGTCTTCTCTTCCGTGTAGGACCTTGTCAATTCTGTCCATAAAAGATAAGCCAGATAAGAAGCTGACCTGTGGAGATGCAGAATATCTCCTTCATTTTCTTTCTGGATGAAATAAAGGGATAGTCATTTTGTGTCCAGAATAATTAAAGAGTTGTTGGAACCTCATGAGTCAGAGAACCTCCTTTAAGAAATGGTTCTTTGGGGTGAATAGGAGCTTTTACTTCTCCCTCATCACCTGCCCTCCAATTGAATTGGGAGCATTTGGGAAACTTCCTGATGTCCTGCTCCCTCTGAGGACCTTGTCCAATAGTATGTAGCCTCTTTTGCTAGACATCAAGATGAAAAATGGTAGTTGTTCTGCTATTGAAAAGCTAGTAAGTTCAAATATTTATGATAATCATTTGTAGTAAATATTGTAAGTATCCCTCCAGAGATGGACTAGAGACAAGAATCTAAGATTATGTGATGGAGAGAGAGACTAGCTTTCCAGAGAGAGAAAAATTAAGCAGAAATCATAGTAATTTATGCTCTATAAGAATGATAGTTCACATTGAGATTTCACATGTATTTTTTGATCCTTCTTACCAGTACTGGGTAAAGCAATCTAAGATTATTTTCTCAATTTTACAGCTATACCTCAGAGAAGTTAACAGATTTCTATAAGGTCACACAGTCAATTGGAAGTGAAACTAGAAAAGAAAAGACATCTTCTGGTACCAAACCCTGTGATTTTCTACTACCAGTCAATAACAGTGAAACAAGTGGAACACTGTTTTGTTGTTACTATTGCTGTTTTTGCTATCATGGAGAAAGACAAGTTATGTACTTCCTAACTAAATTAACACCACTTAGAGATAATTTGTATATTGCTTAAGTTCTTAAGTTTTGACATTAAAATTCCAGGATTTGAATTTCAGAGTCTATTACTTATTAGCTGTGAAAACCTGGAACATTTAAAACAATTCACTAAGCCTCACTTGCCTTAGTTATAAAATAGGGATAGCCATGGTATCTACTTCGTAAGATCATTGTACATTAAACTAAATTTAAGAATGCATATAAGGCAAAAAAGAGTCTTCAGTAGAAGGTGGCAGTGAAATGGTTGTGATGTTGATAGTAATAGTGCTGGCGAAGGTGATAATGGTGGTGGTAATGGTGATGGTTTTGGTAATGATGTTGAGGGTGGTAGTGATGGTTGTGATGGTGGTGATGTAAAGGTAGTGGTGACTGTGATGGTGGTAGTGGTGATGGGATAGTGGTGGTGATGGTTGTGATGGTGGAGGTCTTGGTGATGTAATGGTAGTGGTGACTGTGATGGTGGTAGTGGTGATGGGATAGTGGTGGTGATGGTTGTGATGGTGGAGGTCTTGGTGATGTAATGCTAGTGGTGACTGTGATGGTGGTAGTGGTGATGGTGATAATGATGGGATAGTGGTGGTGATGGCTGTGATGGTGGAGGTCTTGGTGATGTAATGGTAGTGGTGGCTGTGATGGTGGTAGTGGTGATGGTGATAATGATGGGATAGTGGTGGTGATGGTTGTGATGGTGGTGGTGATAGTGGTGATGGCAATGGTGGTGGTGGTGGTGATGGTGGTCATTATGGTGGTGGCAGTGATGGTGGTAGTGGTGTTAATGGTGGTAGTGCCAGTAATAGCAGCAGAAGCAATAGAATTTCAAAGGTGTGAAAAGTAATATATTGAGGGAAAACGTGCCTAATTTTATGTTAAGTTTAGCAAGACTCTTATTGTTCCCCCTATTGCAAATTGTTCTTCTCTGTGAATCATGATCTGTAGACAAAAAGAACCTAAATTTATGAGGCCATAAAAACAAATTTTTCAGTTCTCATTGGACCATTCCACTCGTGATGGGCTATTGCTGTTAGTTTTGTGCTGAGCACTAGAGGGTGATGATAATTTCGTGTTTGTCCTTGTTTTTTTCTATCATAACAGCTCTTGGATAAATAATCAACCTGAGGATTTTATCAACTACTAAGTATGTCCATGATGATTTCTTTTGAGAACCATGAAAATTTCTACTGGGAGAGTTTGTAGCCCTAGTTGACTCACTGCAGTAGATTATATTGTTTACCAAATATCGCAGCTCTCTCCCTGTGATATATCTTCCTGCAAGGTGGTTTTTTTCTTCCCCATTCTGTTGGTTTTATGATGGTCATAGGCTGTGCATCGAATAATTAAATGTGAGCAGAAGTGACGTGTGTCCTCATCTCTTTCTCCTTTCTGCCACAGAAGCAGCCATATTTCCCATAGAGATTTTCCCATCAGCCCTCTCCTGTTTTGAAGACTATATGAAACAGAGGTGAGGCTGAACTATGATATATAAGTAGCATGACTCAAAAATAAATCTTGTTTATTCTGAAGTTGTTGGTACAATGTAATTTAGCCTGACAGATACATCACACTGCCTAATAAACTACTTAGTTGCAGACCATGTGTTTTTGTTTGTTTGTTTGTTTGTTTGTTTTTTGAGACAGAGTCTCGCACTTTTGCTCAGACTGGAGTGCAGTGGTGTGATCTCGGCTCACTGCAAGCTCCACCTCACAGGTTCACGCCATTTTCCTGCCTCAATCTCCCGAGTAGCGGGGACTACAGGCACCTGCCACCACGCCTTGCTAATTTTTTGTATTTTAATACAGATGGGGTTTCACCATGTTGGCCAGGCTGGTCTCGAACTCCTGACCTCAGATGATCCACCTGCCTCGGCCTCCCAAAGTGCTGGGATTACAGGCGTGAGCCACCGTGCCAGGCCAGACCATGTTTTAATTATCATTAAATCCATATTGTCTACTACAATGCCTAGAATATACTAGGTGCTCAATGAAAATATTATTAAATGACAAGTGAAAGCAACATATCCATTTATTAATATTACCTTCGTTTGAAAATCCATAAGTATGTCTGCATTTTGAAAAATTACTAAGCTTTATCTTTTAATCTTTTACAAATAATGGTAAATAACACAGATTTTATATGGCCAACATTTAATACATGCATGTTGATTTTCTAAAGACATCCATTTCTTCACCTTCCTGTCTCTCATAGCATCTGTTAATGTATCCCAATAGACTTGAAATTTCTCAAGAAAAGGAATCATTTTGTTTGCTTATTTATTTCCCTGAAATCTAGTTTATTCCTGCCACATTTGCCACACATGTACACATTTAATATATACTTGTTAAATGACTGACAAAATGAGTGGTTACAAAGAAATATACTTCCCATGGGTATATTTCAGGCTGACAATCATGAAGTTATCCAGACATAGGCGGGCATTTTTATTTCAGATAGTACCCTTTTGTCCACCCTAACCAAGCTAACCAACGATCATCTATTTATTTCATAGTGTCAGTTGTGTTCATAATATTGAGTATTGATTGACTGTGGTTTTATTAATAAAGTGTACCATGTAGAATATAGAAGAATAAGATAATTTTGGCTGGAAAAATGTTGTTCTTGCTTGTTGATGTTGTTGTATGTGTATGTATGTCTCTTTCTACTTAATCGATAAACATTGCCCAAAATGGGAAACTGCAATTGGTGTAATTTTGATGATTAATCTCTGCTAAATTTAATTATATGAAATGCCAGTTATGAGTGAATTTACTCACATTTATAAAACTTGTGGGGTCCATATGGGTGAACAGATTGCTTTATTCACAGGTTGTCCCATGTGGGGGGTATAGCCAGAGATAAATATCCCTACCTTTCTGTCCTTGATGTCAGCAAGAATCAGCTTGCAGCAGTCAGTGCTTGTGGTAATTTGGAGCTAGCCATATGAACATCAATTACTAAGACGTACCTGGCCTGGACAAGGAATTGCTTCTAACCTGCCTCTTTGCCTGCCGCCTCTCTAATCTTTCTTCATTTTACTGCCAGATTCACATTTCCAAATCACAATTTTTATCAGGTTATTTCCCACCTTCAGTAGCTTCACTTTGTCTACAAAAATCCAAGCACCTTGGACCGATATTCAAGGTTTTCTGCTAGTCTCACTTCAACTACTCTTCCAGGCTGAATCATTACCTCTTATCTCCATGGATGTAGGGTTGCAGCTGAACTTGATCATTCAATATCATCTTTGCACCTGATTCTTTTCTGCCTCCTCTTACTTGCCCAAGTCATTATCTCTGTTTGAAAGCACTTTCTGTGTTCTTCACAGTCATTTAGTTGGTACATATTTATTGAGTATTGGACTATGGGTAAGGCCTTGTCCTCTCCACCAGCGATACAGCAATTAAAACAGCCTAGGGACCTGTTATCTTGAAGCTGATGAAACAACATATTGTATTTCAAAAATCCTTATAAATTTCCTCATCGGAATATTTAGTCTTACAGTTTGTTCAACTGGAAGAATTCTCTCCTTCTTCTAAAAAATTTTAGTGCTTACTATATCTCCCTAATTGTTTGTGCCTGTCAAGGACAACCATATACATACTCCTGTATATTTCCACACTCAAGCCTGGTTCCTGGAACATGGGACATCTCAAAAACATTTGTTCTTATTATTTTTTAAATGATTGAAAAAAGGAACCAATACCAGACATATTTTGAGTGTTTACTGTGTACCAAGTATTGTGCAATGTACTTAAAATATATCATCTCTCACCTCCACAAGAGCCTGACATGGCACATGCATTTCTTACAACTTTCTTAATGAGAAACTATTAATGAAAAGTTAAGACAGGCAGTATGTAATTTGTTGAAAGAATGGAACATTTTTTGATTAAATAGTACTCAGCTCCTCTCTTTAACATAGAACTAATCTGTGACCAGATGCTGCGCTTACGGAGTCAATTGTGTTCATGATGACGTATTTGATCCTAGTTTTATTGATTTAGTGGATCATGTAGAGTAATGTAGGCTAATTCTGGTTTGAGAGAATTTTGGCTACAAAGTTATTATGGCTGAAGTGGGATCAAACTCATGTCTATTTTATGGCAGAGCTCACACATTTTTTTTTTCTATACCACTCTGCTGAGTAAGTGAAATAGTGGAAAAGTACTCAGAGGTATTCACTGCAGTAGATGCTGTTGGTGCCTTGCCCATATCCCCTAAGCAAACACCTCTAAACTCTGAAGTCGCTTTATTCCATACGGCTATGGGGATTTTATCTGGCCGTGACAGCAATGACAAGCCACATTTGTTGGAGGGTTAGTGTCTTCAAGATCCATCCTCAACCACTACCAGGCAAGGAATTAATGTGTAAATGCCCTAGTGCCCTCCCGCCTTGGTGGGGATAATGAAGAAGTATGTTCTACACTATATCCCTCATTTATTTAGTGAAATTACGCTCTGGTATCCTATAGGAGCAACTTGCTTAATAATGCACCTTGTATTGAATTGTTTTGCTTCCCTATGTCACTTTTTGATTCCCACCCGTATTTCTTGGAATTCTTCCCCAACTCCACAACCAAAAATATGTACTATTTGCATTCCAGGTCTTGTCTAGATCTGCTTCTGGGACAACCCAGACCAAAACACCTTTCTGATTTCTAGTTGTCAGTGGCTGTCTTGTCACCCCAGCCTGCTGTCTGCTGCCAGAATCCCTGTCTGCTGCTCATTTTAGGATCCAGAGGTCTGTCACCAATGAGCTTGCTACTGCTTGGCTCTGATTTTTAGCTCTCAGCCAGTGGGTAGTGATGTAAGAAGTTTCTTTCCTACTCATGGCTATGATTTTGGAAATGTTTGCCACCCTCCTCCTAGGGTCAGTCGTGCCAGGCTGAGTTGAGCTTCAGAGAACCCACAGGAGCCTGGTGAGGCAGGCGACTTTTCTGGCTACCTTTCTTATATGTGGCCAGCCTGCCTCCTTCCTAGGACCATAATTTTATTTTCTCAATTCTGTTCTCTTTTTTCTTTAAATATAGACAATTTTTATTTGACAATTTTTAAAATAAAAAATTTTGAGAATGGGAGAAGGGGGTGAAAGTACAAAGCAATTAACATAAAAATCATAAAAAAATACTCAATATATGACAAACAGAACTAATCAGTAAAGACATACTGTATGTCTTTACAGTACGTATACACATACTGTATGTCTTTACAGTATGTATACACATATGGTATGTCTTTACAGTATGTATACACATATGGTATGTCTTTACGTATACACATACTGTATGTCTTTACAGTAGTATACACATACTGTATGTCTTTACAGTACGTATACACATACTGTACAGAAAAACTTGGAAATCACAGGAAGAAATAATTCAAAGCTGTTGAAACTGGAGACTGAATTTGGATGGGCTGTCGCTGTTTTTTATTATCATCACCTTTTTGTATTATTTAATTTATTTAAAAAAGTGTATGTATACATTTAATAAAATTTCTGTAAAGTAGTTGTTAAGAAATCAAACCTTGTATATTTATTAAATCATTATCCTATTTGACATAAAAAGTAGCCTGTATTAAATATAAGTTATTTACATGTTTATACACATACAAATTCACACACAGACACACACACACACTTTTAATTTTTAAACAAATAAATTATATACTTTTTTTAAAAAAGTCATAGATTCAGGCCTGAAAATGCTCCTTAAAGAAATCAGAATTGTGTGCAAATTCTGAATTGTATGCCAAAAAAGTATATAATTTATTTTTTAAAAAATTAAAAACTCTGCTTTTCTGTTTATCTCCTCTCTCTCTCTCTCTGTTGCCCAGGCTGGAGTGCAGTGCCAATATCTTGGCTCACTGCAACCTCCACCTCCTGGGTTCAAGTGATTCTCTTGCCTCAGCCGTCCGAGTAGCTGGGACTACAGGCATATGCCACCACCACACATGGCTAATTTTTGTATTTTCAATAGAGATGAGTTTTGCCATGTTGGCCAGGCTGGCCTTAGACTCTTGGCCTCAAGTGATCCACCTGCCTCAGCCTCCCAAAGTGCTGGAATTACAGGTGTGAGCCACCGTGACCAGTCAGTAATCCTATGACTTTTTGATGAGGAGACTTAACCCTGACCCTCCCAGGCCTTTGCTGGGGAATCTGAGCCTGCTTCTGTCTTTCCAAGTATTACCTTGGTCAGACTTAAAGACCCTGTGAGGGAATAAAGTCACATCCAAACCTAACTTACAGAATGGAATCCAAAAATGTGTTCTCTGGGTAGAAGAGTTTGCCATTACCTTGCCTTGGTGTCTTGGTCTCCACGACTTACAAATATGAGCCATTTTTTTCTGTTTAGTTTATTTTTGCTGACTTCTTCTCTGATGAATATCATGTACCTCATTTCAATTGATACTAATTAGCTTGCTCCTTGCTCTGAGAAGCAATATAATAAAATGTTCTGCAATCAGATTTGAGCTTAAATTATATTAATTTCCCTTATCAGATATTTGACCTTGAGCAAGCAACTTAGACGTTTGGATCCCCAGTTGCTTTATATCATATTGGAGGTAGCTTCAAAGACCCCAAAGTGCATTGTAAGGATAAGGAGTATATTTTGCACATTTTTGTTAATACTTGTTGACTATTTAGTAATTGGGAGCTGTTATTTAGTTATATGTCTGTTTTTGGCATTTCAATTTTGATTTTTGCTTTATATTTAAGCATTTTTTAATAATACAGAGAGATTCGAATCTTTCCTTGGTAATAGTAACAACTTAGGCTTTAGATCAACATTCATGGAAGATGTAAGTAAGACCCTAGTTCGGAGCAGCCTTGAGATGATTTCAGAGGTCAGAAGCACAATCATTTTCACCTTTGACACAGCTGAACAGTGAGTAATGACTGACTTAAGGTGGCTTGCTGGGAGGCCATCATAAAAATTATGGAGTTGTCAGTGGCAGTGATTTGGGTTACATCCTTACTTTGGTAATTGTTTATTGTGCCAACCTTGTGTGATCTTCAGATACTCAGTTGGGAGCATCCATCATCTGACATCATCTGACATCATCCTGTGCTATGAAAGCATGTAATCTAATACCCTCATCCTGTCCCTGAACACTGACACTCATCACAACTCTATTTTTTCCCAGAAAACAAGTTGTATTTTTGTGCCATAGCACTGGATACTTTATTTTTAATTGTAACATTTTCTAAAAGATTAAAATCCTACTTGCAAGATATATTAACAATGGATTTGGAGCAAATGACTTTGGTTTGAATATCTTTTTTTTTTTTTTGCCTTGAATATCTTTTCTGCCTCTCACTCACTGCATAACTTTAGCAATTCACTTACCCCCTTAGTTTCTATTCCCTCAACTATGGTACTTGCTTTGCATATGATATAGTGTTATTATGAGTGATAAATGGAGCATTCATGACAAAAGCACTTTGTGAACTACAGTTACAATAAGAGAAGGAACAGAAAGAGAAGGGGGAGAAAATAATGAGGAGGGAAATGAATAAGATTGACAAATGTCAGATTCCTCCCTTTTCAGTGTTCTTTTAACTTCAGGACTAAACTAACTTCCATCAGAGAGGTAGATAGTTTATTTAATTTTTAGATTTACCTTGCACAAATTCCAAATTTGCTATGTCTATTTCTACTGCAATTGGATTTATGGGAAGCAGCACAGGTGTAGAATTTCTTCCTATTCCATGTGTCCTGTAGATTCATTGTTTGCTCCTAGCTAAAAATAAGCTCCATTTACATTTTGTATGAAGAAAAGTAAGAATAATACTCTAAAAGCAATTGATAGATGGTTCTACTTGAAGTAACACTCTTCTAAGCAGACAGTAATGGATACTGTTAAATGAGTAGAAGCTCTCATTATTGTCATCAGTGCCTGTTCATAATCAGATTGTGAAAAATGTGATTTAGCTAAAATGCATAGGAGTAATGTCAGAATATCTGGGATGTAAGACCAAGCCCCTAAAGTTCTTATGAATTTGATTTTGAGTCACCCTCTATCATTGATATAAAATTATATCTGGGAACCTAAGAGAAAAGCCCCTCCAAGAGTATAGCAGCAAGATTTGGGATTACTAGGTCAATGTATGTAGATGAATATTTTTTGAAATGTGGTCTTGAAAATACCTGCATTTATTGCCCAAGCATTGCATTAAAAAACATAGGTAATAAGACCTAAGGAATTAGAATCTTGGAGGTAGAGCCTTGGGATATGAGTATTTAAAATGTTCCCCAGGCCGGGCGTGATGGCTTAGGCCTGTAATCTCAGCACTTTGGGAGGCTGAGGCGGGTGGATCACCTGAGGTCAGGAGCTCGAGACTAGCCCGGCCAACATAGTGAAACTCCGTCTCTATGAAAAATACAAAAATTGGCCGGGCATGATGGCACATGCCTGTAATCCCAAGTACTCAGGAGGCAGAGGTTGCAGTGAGCCAAGAGCGTGCCATTGCACTCCAGCCTTGGAGACGGAGTGAGAATTCATCTCAAAAAAAAAAAAAATTATCCATGCTAGAATCTGTGTATCAGTATATCATTGTGGATTGAATTTGTAATTCTCTAATAAATATTAATAATAATGAGCATCTTTTATTGTGCTATTTGCTATTTACATATCTTTTCCAGTGACCTGTTTTCAACTGTTTACAGACTCAACATTATTCCTAAATACTCAGTTCAACTACTGTGGAAAGCAGTTTGGAAATGTCTCAAATAATTTAAAACAGAGCTACCATTCAACCCAGCAGTCCCATTACTGGGTATATGCCAAAGGGAAATTAGCTCACCATACTAAAAAGACACATGCACTCTTATGCTTATTGCTGCACTATGCATAATAGCAAAGACATGGAATAAATATGGAAGCCCATCAACGATGAATTGGAAAAAGAAAATGTGGTAAATATACACTGTGGAATACTGCCCAACTGTAATAAAGAATAAAATCATGTCTTTCACATCAACATGGATAGAGCCAGAGACCATAATTCTAAGTGAATTAACACAGGAGAAGAAAACAAAGTACTGCATGTTCTCGCTAATGAAGTATTGCATGTTTTCACGTGTAAATGATAACCAAACATTGAGCACCCATGGACATAAACATAGAGACAATAGACACACTGCAAACTACTAGAGGGGAGAAGGAGAGAGGCGTGTCATAAGTTGAAAAACTACCTATTTAGGTACTACGCTTACTATCTAAGTGCAATATATCTAAGTTACAAATCTGTACATTTACCTCCTGTGTCTAAAATAAAAATTGAGAAACAAATCCCACCAAAACATTTTTAGATGTGTAATGGAGAAATCAGAGAAAGTTCCTCCGTAATCCTAGGACTAACATTAAGCAGACAGCAGTAGTGGTCTACTATTGGAGTCACGTAAGCTTGTGCTGTCCTAAATATAAGTAAAGCATCAATAATGCATTCAGCTTATTGATATACTAGATTCATCCAAACCCCCTCACTAACTATATGGTGTAAAAAGAGGAATTTTCTTTTCTTGGAGGAAATATTTCCCTCAGTCTTACTGTTCTTGACATATAATTTTTGACATTCAAATTTTTAAAAAAGACAAAAAAGCAAGAAAATATGACACCTCATCAAAAGACAAAATAATCAATAGAACCAGACCCAGAGATGAGACTGTACAAATTTGTTAGTCAAGTAATTTAAAGTAACTATAATAAAAATTGAAAGGTAGAAGACATATTTGAACAGGTGGGTTACTTCAGCAGAAAGACAGAGACTAGGAAAAAGAGAACCAAATGAAATTGCCAGATATAAAATCATGCTATCTGAGATGAAGAATTATTTTAATGGGATAATCAGCATACTGAATAAAGCAATATAAATAATTAGTGAACATTAAGATTAGCTAATAGAAATTATCCAAACAGAAATAAAAAGTAAAAAGTATAAAGAAAAATGACAGCACATTTGAGATCTGTGAGGAAATATTAAATTTTCCAAAACATGTGTAATTGCAGTCCCAGAAGGAGTTAAAAGAGAGGAAGGATCAATAGAAAGCATAGAGGAATAGAGGATATAGTAGTCAATACTAACATGAAATTAATTTAAAAAAACCCCACAGATCCAAGCTCAGAATATTCTAATAAGCATAAAAAAACACAAAAGCAAAAAAAAACACAAACTTGGGCATGTCATGGTTTGAAACACCCGAAATCAAAAGAAAATGAGAAAACCTTAAAAGCATTCAGAAAATAAAAATGGAAAAATTTCCCAGTATATGAAACATGATAAAGATGAAAATAATGTAAGAAATACAAAATTTCATTAATGCTATCAATCTGCTTGACCTATTGAAAATTATGTAATGCTATATCCCACAAAAACAGCATACGCTCTTCTCAAATGAACATGGAACATTCACTAAGATAGAGCAGATGGGACAAACAGAAAACAAATAACAAGTGGGTAGTTTTAAACCAAATTATATCAATATCTACATCAAACACAAATAATCTGAACACCTGAATTAAAAGGCTTAGATGGTCAAAATAAATTAAAAGCAGTCAACATGTAGTATTTTCTGTTGATCAGAAATCCTTTTTAAATATACAGACCAAGATTAAAGTGAAATGATGGAAAATAATTACCCACTGGAGAAAGATTAATTATAAGAAAACTGTAATGATTATAACAATATTAGACAAAATAATTTCAGAATACAAACCAAGATAAGGAAGGATATTTTATAATGACAAAAGAGTCAAAATTATCAGAAAGATATAACAATATTAAATTGTTTACACCCAATAACAGAGTTTAAAACATATAAATAAAAATAATGAATATAAAGGAAAAATATAAAGTCTACAACCATAGTTGGAAATTTTGACACAGTAACTAATGTGTAAGTACAGAGAAATTCAGTAATATAAAAAATTTACATAATGCCATAATTCAGCTTGACTTGATTGATGTTGTTACCACACAATAATAATTAAATGATAGTTATTTTTAAGGGAACATGGAATACTCACCAAGGTAGGCGAAATATGAGCAACTCAATAAATCTCATTTAAAATAACTGAAATAATGTAGAGTAAGTTCTATAGTAATATAATTAAATTAAAAACCAATTTAAAATATCTGGAAAATCTCTAAACCTTTGGAATTTAAAGAAACACACTTCCAATTGAATTGAACAGATGAATAATTTTAAATTCCTAGGAAAGAAGAGCTATATAAAATCAATTATCTAAACTTTCACCGTAAGAAGCTAGAAAAGGAAGAATAAATTAAATTACACAAGTATAAATTTATGTAGCAGTTAGAAAGAACAAATTACCTTTGGTTATAAAAAGGATAAATGTAAAAAACAAAATAGGAAATTTGCAAGGACCAGTGAAGCTGAGAGTATGATTAACTGAAATGAAATAAACAAATGAATAAATGCATGGATACAAGGAATAGCATTATCTGGGGACCTGGAAGGGGTGAACAAGGATTAGCTTTGTTGGGTTTCAAGTTTGTACCTAGAACTTTTATATGGTACTTTGCACAGATAATGTCAGGTTATAACATTTTTTTTAATCCCAGATATAGAACCTGATAATTAGGGAAATTACGTCTCCTTTAAGTTTACCATGCTGGTAAGCATTTGGGGCAGTGAGTGAAACAAGTTCATTGGGTCCTGAGTCTATACACTTTCCTAAATATCACTGTGATCAAAAAGCAGCTTTTTGCTTTAGGCAAGAATGTACACAGGTCAGCATCTTTTTCAATCTCTTATATATTTATTTTTAAACAAATGTTTCACATAGACTAGTCATACGGCAAAATTAATGGCTTAAGCTTTGAAATCAGACAAAAATTTTGAATCCTGAGACACACACACACACACACACACACACACTGTCTCTCACACACACACACACACTTGGAATAAAACAATACATAATCTTTATATCTTATTTTCTTTTAAAATTATATCTCTGGAGGGGTGTGGTAGCTCATGCCTGTAATCCCAACACTTTGGGAGGCCGAGGCGGGTGGATTGCCTGAGGTCAGGAGTTCAAAACCAGCCTGGCCAATATGGCAAAACCCTGTCTCTACTGAAAACACACACACACAAAAAATAGCCGGGCATGGTGGTGGGGGCCTGTAATCCCAGCTACTCAGGAGGGTGAGGCAGGAGAATTGCTTGAACCCGGGAGGCAGAGATTGCAGTGAACCGAGATTGCGTCCCTGCACCCCAGCCTGGGCAACTGAGTGAGGCTCCGTGTCAAAAAAAAAAAAAAAAAATCTCCAAATGTGGCTTACTGAGTTAAAACGGATAAACAATTTTTAGCTCCTTACTCAAAGATGCTCATTATAATTATATTTAAAGGAGGAAAAAAGATAAAAATTGGAACTGACTTTAATGCCCAACAATAATATTAAATTAAAAAAATTAGAAGACTTTGGGGATAGGATTAAAACTTTATAAAATATTTATATGTACATCCATATTATATCTATACCCATGTTAACCTCAACCATGCCTATCTCAAACCCTTGGTTTGATCAGAAACTGCACATGATTATTAAATAGCCCTTTCTTTTATTCAACTGATTGCTTATTCTAACTCTAATATTGCCTCTGTTTTTATAATCCAAGACTTGCCTTGGGTCTCCTGGATTGATTCCTACCATTGGCTCTGGCCTCCATCCATACATATTCTGGCCATAGTGGTGACAAATCTTGAGTCTCACATGCAGATTTACAAAGTATAAACACTGAGCAGTGAGGTGCCTTTCCCTCCTTCACCATTACCCTTATTATCTTGGAATAATTGAATAGAATAAAGTCCCTAGAAAGCCTATCACAGACCAAAAAAAAAAAAAAAAAAAACTTTCTAGTAGGAGATGAGAGTGGATAACCTAATGGTTCTTTTTTATTTCTTACTGCACATCTCTGTGATAAAAGCAAATGTAATTTTTATATAGTTATGAGAAGGAAAATTGAAACAGGGATCATTTTGTAATATTATATCCCCGTGCACTTGTTCCAACTTCCCTCTGCAATTGCTGTTCACCACTCTGGTGTAATTGCATAGGTCATTTGTGGAAAAGCATAATTATACCTTAAGGTAATGTTCTCTCATGCATTATTAAGTCATGACTTTTTCTAAAGTGGATGGAGGGAGGGAGCTGGGTGACTGGAAGAGAAGTCATAGAATTGTGCATCAGACGAAGCATCAAGACCAGGCTAATCTCTTTAGGACTACACCCATGCCTGGAACATCTTCACTAAACATATGGACCACATTGCATCAAAATTTCTTTATGTGTAATAATCTCTTTAATTAGGTTGAAGACCTCTTGACAGTAGTAACGGGTTATAAATAATCTTTATTTCCGCAGTACTTAGCATATCACCTGGCACAGAGCACGAAATCAGTGTTTTCTGCTGAGTGAACGTTGAGGAGATTGCCAAGCAAGAAATGTGAACTGGGGCCGGGCGCGGTGGCTCACGCCTGTAATCCCAGCACTTTGGGAGGCCGAGACGGGCGGATCACGAGGTCAGGAGATCGAGACCATCCTGGCTAACACGGTGAAACCCCGTCTCTACTAAAAATACAAAAAAAAATTAGCCGGGCATGGTGGCGCGTGCCTGTAGTCCCAGCTACACAGGAGGCTGAGGCAGGAGAATGGCGTGAACCCGGGAGGCGGAGCTTGCAGTGAGTCGAGATCGCGCCACTGCACTCCAGCCTGGGCGACAGAGCGAAACTCCGTCTCAAAAAAAAAAAAAAAAAAAAGAAATGTGAACTGGATTTTCTTTGGCAGATTATGTTCTGTTCAAAGACATCAAGACCAGTGAAGGAGATGGCGTTAGAGTCTGCTTGAATCTGAATTTTCACAAAGGAAAAACAAACGTAGAATTTAAAAAGTTAGGCATAGAGACAGAGCTGGTTTGAATAACTCTGCTTTCTTCCAGCTTATGACTTCACCCCTGTGAATATCAGAATCCTAATTTAAAAGAAGGTAGATCACCATATCTATTGATACGGTTAGTGCTAGGTTCAAATGAAATCATGCATCTGAAAGTAGAGAATGCAGTGCCAGATTCACAGAGGGGCTTAATTATAATGCAAATTATTATATTTTGCTACAAGGTGCTAGGCATGGTACAGGCTTATTTACAGTCAATGTATCTTCTTTTTCTCATTTGATGACCATGTATGAATTTAATTCAATGACCCTGACATTAATGGCATGCCAAACGCAGTGCTGGGTTTTTTGGTGCTACAGGCAATGAGACAGAGTTAGGTGGGAAAGTTAGGAAAGTAAAGAGCCATGACTCATCACCATCTATCATACCTTGCCTCTGCCAAATTTATAAAACAGGTGAAGTTGGTCTTTGATGCATTCCACCTTTTATAGTTTAATAGCTGATGTGGTTTGGCTGTGTCGCCACCAAAAATCTCATCTTGAATTGTAATTGCTATAATCCCCATAATACCCCTGTCAAGGAAGAAGCCAGGTGGAGGTAACTGATTCATGGGAGGGCTTTCTCCCATGCTGTTCTTGTGCATGATATTGAGTTCTCATGAGATCTGATGGGTTTGTAAGCGTTTGATAATTCCTCCTGCTTTCATTCTCCTTCCTGCTACCTTGTGAAGAAGGCTCCTTGCTTCCCCTTTGCCTTCCATCACGATTGTAAGTTTCCTGAGGCTTCCACAGCCATGCTGAACTGCAAGCCAATTAATCCTCTTTCCTTATAGGTTACCCAGTCTCGGGCGGTTTTTTATAGCAGTATACAAATGGACTAATACAATCGCTTAAAGAAGAAATTATGGTGGCAAATGAATCAGACTTGTGTTAACGGGTTAAAATATTTTAAGTGCCTGTATTAGAGCTTGACACATAGTAAGTGCTCAGTAAATGTCAGCCATAGTATTATACAGAAAAATGCTACTGACCTCAGTTCCCTTATTTATAAAATTAAATTTGAAAAATTGAATTATAAATATGGAACTAAACAAAGCAGGAAAGTGGGAGAGAGATTTGTGCGATTTTAATTTTCAACATGATGGCCTAGGAAAACTCTCTGAGGAACTGACTTAAGCAAAGAACTTAATGAATAAGAGAAGGAAGCAAATCTATCTATCTGTCTGTCTGTCTGTCTGTCTGTCTATCTATCTATCTATCTGTCTGTCTGTCTGTCTGTCTATATCTGTGGGAAGCCCATTATCTATATCTGTGGAACAACATGTGAGAATACATTGAGCACAGGAATGGATGGTGTCCTTAGAGACATCACCCAAGTGACAACACACCATCAGACACACAGTATGTATCCAAAAAACTCAGTATTTTATTTTTTCATTGAGACAGGTTCTTACTCTGTTGTCCAGGCTGGAGTGCAGTGCTACCATCTCAGCTCACTGCAACCTCCGCCTCGCCACTCACGCCATCCTCCCATTTCCACCTCCCGAGTAGCTGGAACTACAGGTGCATGCCACTATACCTGCAAATTTTTGTGTTTTTTGTAGCGATGGGGTTTTGCCATGTTGCTCAGGCTGGTTTCGAACTCCTGAGCTCAAGCCATCCTCTTGCCTTGGCCTCCCAAAGTGCTAGGATCACAGGCATGAGCTACCACATCCTGACCAAAAAATTAAGTATTTTAGTTGTTTAAATTTGTATCATTATTTACCTTTTATACATTATTTTCATGTATATTAGTTTATTGATCTTCACAACTGTTCCATGATGATGTGGCATAAAAGAGAGTGAGTAGGGACTTCTAGGTCTCACAGGGATGGAAGAAGGTCATGAAACCATATTTCCTAACTCATCCTTCTTATTCTTTCTTTAGCAACTGAACTTCCCTACTTCCCCCTTCTGTCCACATTTTCTAATCAAAATCTTTTCAAGGTCCTATTTCTCCTGAGTTTAAATACTGAACATATTAAGACAATATGCCTATAAACTAGATGTTAACTTAAATCTCATAGATTTGTAAGCCCTCTCTTCCACCCATGCAATATATTTCCATTTGAACAGACATCCCTAGGGCAAGGTTTCTCTAAAAAAAGACTTGATTACAGGGTGTTTTAGTTTTTAATGGAGCAAGGACTTGTTTTTTCTTCCAGTTCCTCAGATCACGTCTTACTTTTGGCTGCTTTCTCCTTCTACAATCTGTCAAAGCCCTCTGTGGAACAATAGTATCTGCGAGTCAACGGCATTATCACAAATCATAGAGGTGGCTGTTGGACTCACATTTACAATCTACAAGTGTTCACACTGCTTTATTTTTGGCAAGATGTGGCTGCCGCATGGCTCATAAACAGACTTCTGAAATAACTCTGACAGAGAAAAATGCTCCTGATGTTCTGGTCCAGATGCTCTCAGGGATCAAAGACTCCTGGCTATGAGCAATTCCCTTGGAAGCTGTGCAGTTGGCTTTCCTGGGCTTCATCCTTCCCTGAATGTCATGGATAATATTATCTGGGCATCCTTCCAGACAGATAGGGAAGAGCTGTCTGCATTCCATACCTTCACTCTCAGGTTAGAATGAGTGAAAAAGATAAAGAAATATACAAGTTTGAATCCAAACATAGTCACTTTTAAACTATGATTTTGAATAAGTTATGTAGCAATGTACAGCTTCTATTTCTACAATTGTAGACACAACATATCTACTTTTTCTTTTTTTGAAAATGTCACCTACTTTAATTTGGAAACAACTTCTCTGTCTGTCCGGTGCATGTGATCAGGAAGTAATGAAAATATCTCCCTTTCCGGAAGAAGTGGAAAATAGACCCTTTTGTTCTTTAAAGTTTGAGCCCTCCTTGCACTGGAAAAGGCAAATGATTGTGACATTTTTGTGGCTGATTTTGACACCCTCATTAAATATTTGTAAATATTAAACTAATCATAGAATTAAAAGAAATTACAAACATACAACAGAGAGGTCTTGTTTACCTTTGATCACATTTCCTTCAATGATGGCATTTTATATAACTATTACAACATCACAATATCACAGGGAAATGACGTTGACACAGTATAATACAACATCAACTTTTAAGGATTCCATGTGACATTTGGAAGCCTGTATTCTACCATTCACTTTTCCTTACTGTAGAATTCTCATATGAAGGACACATTCACAGAGAGACAGGACCTCTCAATTAGCATCTGGTCAAATTATTAACACTACAAATGAGGAACTCTTGGGTAAAGCTGACTCACAGAACGTTGTTGAGGCTTGAGGTCTAACTGGAAATGCCTTTTCTCTTTCTTTTCATTGATTTACCCACAAAGTTTCACTTCCAAAGAGGATATGATACACGTAGAAGCATTAGACAAATGGCTGAGTATGTTCAGAGGAAGTAAGCACTGTCTCAAATTGCTGGAAGTTTACGTGCCCAGAACATGCACAGAGAAATCTCCTTTAGGTGGGAATTCATTATCAGAACAAAGAATGCAAGGGAGGGAGTGGTGCTGACATTTTTAACTTAATTTAATTTAATTTTACTTTAAGTTCCGGGATACATGTGCAGAATGTGCAGGTTTGTTACATAGATGTGCATGTGCCACAGTGGCTTGCTGCACCTATCAACTCATCATCTGGGTTTTAAGCTCTTCATGCATTAGGTATTTGTCCTAATGTTCTCCCTTTCTTTGCGCCCCAACCCTGACAGACCCTGGTGCATGTTGTTCCCCTTCCTGTGTCCTTGTGTTCTCATTGTTCAACTCCCACTTAGGAATGAGAACATGCAGTGTTTGGTTTTCTGTTCCTGTGTTAGTTTGCTGAGGATGATAGCTTCCATCTTCATCCATGTCCCTACAAAGGACATGATTTCATTCTTTTTTATGGCTGCATAGTATTCCATGATGTATATGTACCACACTTCTTTTATCCAGTCTGTCATTGATGGGCATTTGGGTTGGTTCCATGTCTTTGTTATTGTAAATAGTGCTGCAATAAACATGTGTGTGCATGTGTCTTTATAGTAGAATGATTTATATTCCTTTGGGTATATACCAGTAATGGGATTGCTGGGTCAAATGGTATTTCTGGTTCTAGATGCTTGAGGAATCGCCACACTGTCTTCCACAATGGTGGAATGTAAATGAACTAGTTTACATTCCCACCAACAGGGTAAAAGCATTCCTATTTCTCCACAGCCTCACCAGCATCTATTGTTTCTTGACTTTTAGTAATTGCCATTCTGACTGGAATGAGATGGTATCTCATTGTGGTTTTGATTTGCATTTCTCTAATGATCAGTGATGATAAGCCTTTTTTCATATGTTTGTTGGCCATATAAATGTCTTCTTTTGAGAAGTTTCTGTTCATATCCTTTGCCCACACTTTGATGAGGTTGTTTATTTTTCTTGTAAATTTGTTTAAGTTCTTTGTAGATTCTGGATATTAGACCTTTGTCAGATGGGTAGATGGCAAAAATTCTCTCCCATTCTGTAGGTTGCCTGTTCACACCGATGCTAGTTTCTTTTGCTGTGTAGAAGCTGTTTAGTTTAATTAGATCCCATTTGTCAATTTTGGCTTTTGTTACAATTGCTTTTGGTGTTTTGTTCATGAAGTCTTTGCCTATGCCTATGTCCTGAATGGTATTGCCTAGGTTTTCTTCTAGGGTTTTTTATGGTTTTGGGTTTTACATTTAAGTCTTTAATCCATCTTGAATTAATTTTTGTATAAAATGTAAGGAAGAGGTCCAGTTTCAGTTTTCTGCATATAGCTAGCCAGCTTCCCAGCACCATTTATTAAATAGGGAATCTTTTCCCCATTTCTTGTTTTTGTCAGGTTTGTTGAAAATCAGATGGTGGTAAATGTGTGATGTTATTTCTGAGGTCTCTGTTCCATGCCATTCTTCTATATGTCTGTTTTGGTACCAGTACCATGCTGTTTTGGTTACTGTAGCCTTGTAGTATAGTTTGAAGTCAGGTAGTATGATGCCTCCAGCTTTGTTCTTTTTGCTTAGAATTGTCTTGGCTATATGGGCATTTTTTTTGTTTGTTTCATATGAAATTTAAAGTAGTTTTTTCTAATTCTGTGAAGAATGTCAGTGGTAGTTTGATGAGAATAACATTGAATCTATAAATTACTTTGGGCAGTATGGCCATTTTCATGATATTGATTCTTCCTATCCATGAAGATGAAATGTTTTTCCATTTTTTTATGTCCCCTCTTATTTCCTTGTGCAATGGTTTGTAGTTCTCCTTAAAGAGGTCCTTCACATCCCTTATAAGCTGTATTCCTAAGTATTTTATTCTCTTTGTAGCAATTGTGAATGGGAGTTCATTCATGATTTGGCTCTCTGCTTGTCTATATTCTTGGTGTATAGGAATGCTTATGATTTTTGCACATTGATGTTGTATCCTGCGATTTTGCTGAAGATGCTTATCTGCTTGAGGGGTTTTTGAGCTGAGACAATTGGGTTTTCTAAATATAGAATCATGTCATCTGCAAACAGAGACAATTTGACTTCCTCTCTTCCTATTTGAATGCCCTTTATTTCTTTCTCTTGCCTGATTGTCCTGGCCAGAACTTCCAATACTATGTTGAATAGGCGTGGTAAGAGAGGGCATCCTTGTCTCGTGCCTGTTTTCACAGGGAATGCTTCAAGCTTTTGCCCATTCAGTATGATATTAACTATGGGTTTGTCATAAATAGCTCTTATTATTTTGAGATATGTTCCCTCAATACCTAGTTTATTGAGAGTTTTTAGCCTGAAGGGCTGTTGAATTTTATCAAAGGCCTTTTCTGCATTGATTGAGATAATCATGTGGTTTTTGTCATTGGTTCTGTTTATGTGATGGATTACATTTATTGATTTGCATGTGTTGAACCAGCCTTGCATCCCAGGTATGAAGCTGACTTGATCATAATGGATAAGCTTTTTGATGTGCTGCTGGATTTGGTTTGCCAGTGTTTTATTGAGGATTTTTGCATTGATGCTCATCAGGGATATTGGCTTGAAGTTTTCTTTTTTTGTTGTGTCTCTGCCAGGTTTTGGTGTCAGGATGATGCTGGCCTCATAAAATGAGTTAGGGAGGAGTCCCTCCTTTTCAATTGTTTGGAATAGTTTCAGAAAGAATGGTACCTGCTCCTTTTTGTACCTCTTGTAGAATTCGGCTGTGAATCCGTCTAGTCCTGGGCTTTCTTTGTTGGTGGGTTATTAATTACTGTCTCAATTTCAGAACTTGTAATTGATTTATTCAGGGATTCGACTTCTTCCTGGTTTAGTTTTTGGAGGGTGTATATGTCCAGGAATTTATTCTTTTCTTTTAGAGTTTCTAGTTTATTTTCATAGAGGTGTTTATAGTATTCTCTGATCATGGTTTATATTTCTGTGGGGTCAGTGGTGATATCCCACTTATCATTTTTTATTGTGTCTATTTGATTCTTCCCTCTTTTCTTCTTTATTATTCTCACTAGTTGTCTATTTATTTAGTTCATTTATTAAAAAAAGAATCAGCTCCTGGATTCATTTAATTTTTGAAGGGCTTTTCGTGTCTCTGCTTTGCTGTTGTGTGGTGAATTCTCTCCAGTCCAAACCTCACAGTCTCCTTAGCACTGTCAGGGGAAAACTGCCTACTAAAGCCACAGTAGTTATAGTTGAACCTACCCCCACCAAACTCAATTGTCTCAGGACAACTCCACACTGCTGTGCTGGCAGTGAGAATTTCAAGCCAGTGGTTCTTAGCTTGCTGGACTCTGTGGGAGTGGGACCCACTGAGTGAGGACACTTGGCTCCCTGGCTTCAGCCCCCTTTCCAGGAGAGTGGACAGTTCTCCTGTCTTGCTGGAGTTCCAGGCACCACTGGAGTATGAAAAAAACTCCTGCAGCTCAGGGCCTGCCCAAACAGCTGCCCATTTTTGTGCTTGAAACCCAGGGCCCTGGTGGTGTAGGCTCACAAGGGAATCTCCAGATCCATGGATTGCAAAAATCCATGGGAAAAGCATAGTACCCTGGGCAGGTAGCACAGTCCCTCACCACTTCCCTTGTGAGAGAGGTCCCCGGGCTCTGTGCACTTCCTTGCACTTCCCAGGTGAAAAGATGCCCCATCCTGCTTCTGCTTATTCTCCATGGGTTGCACCCAATAAGACGAACAGTCTACCTCAGTTGGAAATGCGGAAATCACCCGTCTTATGCATTGGTCTTGCTGAGAACTGCAGACCGGAACTGTTTCTATTCAGCTATCTTGGCCTGGTGCTGACTCTTAAAGGCCAACAACCCTGCACCCACATAGGGAAAAATATGCTGCTTAATAAGTATTCTGAGTTCTGGAAATCAACTTTTCTTCATTTAGAATAGAGAATCCCAGCTCAGGAAACATATATGGACAGAAAGTCAGAAGGTGAGTGGAAAAAAAGAGATGGTCCTTTATATGGTTTGGCTGTGTCCCCATCCAAATCTCATCTTGAGTTGTAGCTCCCATAATTTCCATGTATTGTGAAAGGGACCCATTTGGAGATAACTGTATCATGGGGATGGGTCTTTCCCATGCTGTTCTCTTGATAGTGAATAAGTCTCACAAGATCTGATGGTTTTATAAAGGGGAGCTCTCTCTCGCACATGCTCTCTTGCCTGCTGCATTGTAAGATGTGACTTTGCTCCTCCTTTGCTTCCACCATGATTGTGAGGCTTCCCCAGCCATTTGGAACGGTTAGTCAACTAAACCTCTTTCCTTTATTAATTACCCAGTCTTAGACATGTCTTTATTCACAGAGTGAGAACAGACTAATATCTGGTAGAATTTTCATCCCTTACCTGATGGAATTTCTGAGAGGATTTTATAAATCAATATAGGCAAGACTCTTGGCTCAGTGTTGGGAAACATGACAGTTATTTAATAAAAAATAATACCATTCCCTTAACTTATATTGTCTTCAAGAAGCTGAGCCCCAGAGAGTCAAAGAATCCCAATGTTGGAAGATACCTTAGAAAGTATCTATTCCCACTTTCTACACCGTGCAAAACTCTCTGGAATCCCCGCCAGGACTAATGTTTTGTGAGGATAAGACTGGTGGAAGAGAGTGGGCTGGTTTATTTCACCCCCACCCCTGGTTTCCTGACATATGTTTCTTCACTGGAGAGGTTGAAAAGAGAAGAGCTGCAATACCTAGACACTCTTGCAGCTGAAGTTTCATGTAGGTCCAAGATCCTGCAAAGCAGATGCACACCTGTGACACCTGAAAGTTGAAGTGAGCAACCTGATCACCTACTCTGAGACAGCTCTGGTGACATTTCTGGTACCCAGTTGTAGAGTCAGTTGCCCAGGATGGCCGTGGGGGCAGTAGCATTTCTGCTAGACAAGCCCCATGGTGTGTGCAGAGGGTCGTGTCCTAGCTTCTTTATTAATGGCTGTATAACACCAATCCCAAGACATCTGATCCTCTCAGAGGCTCTGTGAGTGCTGTAATATAATAAATATTTCTTTTCCTGCTTGAGATAGCTAGATTGATTTTATTTTTTAAACAAAAGTCCTGATTAATACACTGTTCAAAAACTCTATGTTATCTAAACAATAAAATGTGATTTGGCAATGTGACAGTTAAGAATCTACATGAATTACACTCTGGGACATCTCTTGCCTCATGTCTCACCCCGATCCAGATCCTGTTCTTGCCTTTTATACTCTGCTTCAGAGTTTCATGAATATCCCCCATTCCATTTTGAGGAAGATTTGGGTTAGATAAATTAGCCTCTTATTGAGCTGACCCTGTGTCCTTAGACATTATACCAATTAGTTCTCTGTGTGTGTGTGTACAGAATCATTGGACACCTATGGTTTTCCAGTCATTTTTCTAGGCTTCAGGCTTAGAAGATCTCACTCATGTAGTTAGACTGAGTGTGAATAGGAAAGAGATAGTAAAGGTGTACATTTGAAATACATGATTTCATATAAATTATCTTTGAAATGCATCATCACAAGTGGGTTGTCAGGGAAAAAAATATCTTTGAGGGGGAATTGTTGGAATTAGAACCTGAGTTTTGACTAGGAGTCAGCTGTGAAAAACAAAGATGCAAACTCTGGAGAAAAATTCTAAGCAGAGTAAACAGCAAAGGCAAAGACCTTGAGGAAGAGCAAATCTCAGTGTCTATGAGAACTCAAAGGATGGTCCATGCATGTGCAAGCTAGTGAGTAAGGGGGAGAGTGGTAAGAGCTGTGTTTGGAGATGGAGGGAAGTTGCAGCACTGTAGCACAGGTGAGCAGTGAGAATTTAAATTCCGATACCCCAAATCTCCTTCTCACATGACAATGCTCCAAATTTTGAAGATCCCAATCAAAGTGGGCTTGGGACACCCTCACAAAGCATGGTAGAGGTGATTAGGGAGCTGACTGAGCAGGCATGGTGCCACTCCAAGCACTATGGAAGGCTAGAGATGTTTGCTTCTGTAGGAGTCACTCCACCAGAAATGAAACTTGCTGGTTACTCATCTCTGCTAGAAACATTTTGTTTAATTTCTTTCTAAAGCCATTTTAAAGGGTCTGCAACAGATTTACCTCCTTGCTTTGATGCACAAGAAAAGCTTAACTGCATTATTTTCCTCTTCTTGCTCTCTATTCCCCTCCTCTTTCTCTTCACTCTCTTGCTGCCCTCCTCTTCATCACTAGCTACCTCTGCACGTCTTCTTCTGCTTGTGTTATATCTAACATTCACAGCTACTTTTGCAAGGAGTGTAAAACTATTCCCATTTTATAGTTAAGAAAACTGAGTCTTAGTGAAGCTAAGTATTATGCAAATTAGTATAGTTGGTAAGTGGTGGAGTCAAGATGTAAACCCACTACCCTTCTGATTTCAAAGTCTGAGATGTTTTCTGTATTTCATCATGTCATGCTGTCTTTTACTCAAGAGACTGCACATATTACTCCTTCTGCTTTATCACCTTTAATCTCTCTACATTTTATTATTTCTTACTGATCTGTCAAAACGCAGCTTAACATCACCACTTCTTAAAAGCTTTCAGTAAGTTCACTTACCTGCTAGATTTGTTCAGGTGTCCCTCTACGTGGTCATTCATAGCTGCCCATGTATGTGTGGCCTCAGCCTCTCAAAGCACATGTAACATCTTACTGTATTCATCAATTTACTTATCTGCCTCTCCTACATGACTGTGAGTTCTTTGAAGGCAATGACTGTGCCCTTAATCTCCGTACCCAACGTCCTACATTTTTTGTTTTCTCAATCTCTATTGAGCAAATATATTCTCTAGAATTTGGAGAGGTAATGGAGAGAGAAGCCTCAAGATGTCTAAAGGAATGATTCAGCTATGGTTTTCTATTCACATCAGTCATCTTTTGTTATCAAAGTGCTGAATAATAAATTATCTCAAAACACAATGAATTAAAACAATAATTATTTATTCTTGCTCATGAATCTGTTACTCCAAGCTTTTTCCAGGTGTCCGTCATTCTTTGGGGATCAGGGACCACCAGGCCATGTTCTTTTCATGGTAATTGCGGAAGCACAGGAGGGAAATCATCTCTCAAGCCTTTGATCATGTTGTGTTTGGTAACATTCCATCAGCTAAAGCAAGTTACCGGGGCCAGTTCCAGCACTGATGGGAGCATTGTCTACCTACAATGGGAAGGAGAGGAGAATGAGGCTTTGCTTTATAATATTCCAAGTGAATGAACAAATGTAAAATTAGCTAATCAACTTACACTTAATTAAAGTCAGATCTAGCATAAAACACATTGGGATCTTCTCTGGTGAGAGTTGCTCTCTGTCTGGTATGTTGGGAACAAACTTACACCTGGAATAGAGTAATAAGTGACAGGGAATCACTAGGAAGCACTTACACTGAGCACCTGCTAGGTTGCAGAACCTGTATAAGAATTGTAAATACAGAAAACCTAGTGGCCAAGATCTGTCCTCAAGGACTCCCAGACTGAAAGGGAAGACAGGAATGTAAATTAACCAGGTCTATGCTGTACAATAACTTCCTACTAAAACAATGCTCAAGATTCCAGGAAAAAGAGGGAGGAGAAAAAATTCTGATTATGCCTCAGGGAAGATTTCCTGAATAAGGCAAAGTCAAAAGAGAATAAATCTAAGTACCCTTTCTAATTTATTGTAAGAACTACACAGGTTATTTATTTTTCTCCAAATCCTCAGTTCTTATCTGACAAGTAGCACAGAATATGCCTTCAGTGCATGGTGGTTATAAGACTGGTGGATGAGGGCGGGCACGGTGGCTCACGCCTGTAATCGCATAACTTTGGGAGGCCAAGGCAAGTGGATCACCTGAGATCGGGAGTTTGAGACCAGCCTGAACAATATGGAGAAATCCCATCTCTACTAAAAATACAAAATTAGCTGGGCATGGTGGCCCATGATGATAATCCCAGCTACTTGGGAGGCTAAGGCAGGAGAATTGCTTGAACCCAGGAGGCGGAGTTTGTGGTGAGCCGAGATCTCGCCATTGCACTCCAGCCTGGGCAACGAGAGCAAAACTCCCACTCAAAAAAATAAAAAAAATAAAAAAAGACTGGTGGATGACAAAATACTTCAGACTGCCTGTGAACTATCAACATAATGCTCATGTTTCCTTCTCCTTTTACAGATGATGAAACTGAAACCCAGATGGCTAATGTAACTGTAAAGATCACACAAATATTTTATGATGTTGCTGTAAGCAGAACCTAGGTCTTGTGGCTCCCAGTCCAGTGATTTCATGCTAAAAATTGCATGAAAATTACCTGACTCTAGTTTTCCATGGAATAAAAAAAAAATTATACAGCTGGGAGCTGTGTAGCTCCGTGAGTGCAACATAGTATCCACCCTGCAAATGTTTGTTGAATTGAATGGAGTTAAAAATTGGAAAGATTCATAAAGAAAGATTCTCTCTTCTAGTCCAGCCCTTCATTTTGCCAAGATAGGGAAAGTGAGTGCAGGAACTGGGGAATGACTTTGCCAAGGTTGCGGGGGGCTTACCCGCTACCATGTGATGGTGAGAACCGGAGCTCTTTGCTTCTCTGCCCAACACCCCCTTCCTTTCATTGTCATTGGAGTGCGAATGAGGTCCTGTAAACTGTGTCTGTGGGTAAAGAGGTGTGACATTGTTTAAAGTCATTTCCTTGTAAGCTCAGTCGCAAGCAGGCAAGTAGGGAAAGACAGTAATTCAAGTTGTCAGGGCCCTTAGAAACCTGCCCTAAGGTGTTGTGTTCATAATGGAAAGAATTGAAACGCTTGAATATGGTTATTCTTGGGCCTATTCTGAAACCAAGAGTGTGTATCCTCAGCAGGCTTAATGCAGACAATTACAGTTAAACCCACGCTTCCAGATAAGCTAAATTTCCAGGACCTTGTAAATAACTCTTTGTTCCCTGTCTCCTCGTGCTGGGTCCTGTCGGTACAAGCAGGAGACAAACAAAACAACTGCAAACTCTTTATTCCTTTCCATCCTCTCTAGTAATTCCATCTTCCCAATCTTTACATCTCAGTTGTAACTTCAGGGGGCACATACAACACTCCCCAAATTCTCTAATAATGTAGAGACACCCTGAGCCACTCATTCTATGTTTTCTTGCCCCACAAACTTATTTTGTTTGCAAAGGACTTTCCAAGGACAAGGACAAGGACACATTAATCAATAGCAGGTCCTAATGGACTCATTTATGACTGCAGCTATCCACATAGGGAGGAAGAAAGAGAATCACACATAGGAAGAGGCTATATCTTCTCTCCCTCTTTGTACAGAGTCTTAGTGTGCCCTTTACTGTCTTTCAATCCTTCCTTGATCCATATTGGTGTTCTTCTAGAAAGAGGAGAGAAAGAAAATAGATTACACCAACATTGAACTCATTCCTCATTTTTAACACTGTATAAGTATAAAGTTTTATTTACAAATTAGCATGTCTGCAAGGAGCCAGTGTTCATCCAGTCTGATCTTTTCATTTTCTGATGAGAAAACTGAGTTCTAGAAAGAATGAATGGCTTGTCCCTAGTCATCCTATGAAAATGATTCAGAGCAATATTAGATCTCAGGGTTTTTGTGTCCCAGGGCTATTTGCCCCACACCTAACTGATGTATGACTTCCCTAGATTATCTTCAGAACATTAATGAAATTGTGGATTTAAACACATGGAACTTCTGTAGCTATTCTTACAGAGCAATTTAATTACACACACTAAACTTTTTCCATTTTAAGCATAGTGCTTATTTCACCCCAAAAGTCACTGGATCATCTGATTATTCATAAGCCAGGCAAGCTAAATTTCTCATAAGCCATGCCTCTGAGAAACTTGTAATTTTGTTCTCCAAAGGTATCTCCAACATAAAGAGATTTGAGTCCATGGAAGGATGTTGAATCCATGGTCCAAAGACTCTGGATAGGAGCAGTGCCAAGCGAGCTGCTCACTTTGGAATTGCCTCCTGGTTCTCCTGGATTTAGCCTGTGCTCTGTGATTGGTAGGTGCTCAACCCTGAATTTCTTGTTGTGGACACTGAGCAAGGTATTGAATGACTTGGCTTCTCAATTCCCTCATCTGAAGCTTGGAGATAATGATAGCCCTTCAGTGGTTTGACACAGTGGTTTTTAACTATCTGCCCATCTTCCCTACTGTTAATTTTTAAAGGCAGAAGTTTTGCCAATTCATTTTTATCACACTACCCACTGGCATAGCCTTACAAAAGGCAAGAGTTTATATCCATTTACAAATTGGGATTATAATAGAAACTGCTTTCTGCTAGTTTAATAAAATTAAGGCATTAATTACAAATGTTAGGGCTATTTCATGCAACCTGGGGGCAGAAATGGGACTGGGCTTTAGGTTAGCAGGAATGCCAGGCTGCCCAAGAGGGCAGTGATTATGAAAAGAATGATTTCCAGCCAGCTTCTGCTCATTTTCTGGGCATCAGGATTACCTCTACTCCTTTGTAACTTTCTCCTCTACTGCGGCAGGGATGCTCGAGTTTTTCTTGCTCCTACTCCCCTTCTTCTTGATCTTTGCTCTGTGTTTTTTGATCTCCTCAAGATCAAGGTTTCCGGTCATGATTCTACTTCCCACCAGTAGGGAGAGTGAGTCACAAACCAAGCTGGTCAGAGTCTACGGCACTAACTGTCCTCTGTTTTCTAGGGGTAAAGATTCCAAGGACATTAACAGGTTAGCCCAGGTCTGTGCAGTCTAAAAGCAGGCTTGACTATTTCTCTTTCTCTCATTCTTTTCAGGATTCCTTTTGCATGCATTTAAGAGAGGATACTTGAGGCTTCTCTAGCTTGGTGATTTGTGCATGTTCTCTGTCGCCTCCTCCCTCCATCCTTCAACGCTTGCTGCTGGGTCCAAGTCTGCTGTCTCAGACGACCAGGTCTGGAGCAGACAGCTCCAGTCAACTCATTTGATGCAACAGGATAAATTCTCTGGTTGCCCTCCCACCTGTGAGGAACACAGGCACCAGCAGATGTTCTCTGACTTCGACTTTCTTTGCTTCAGAGTGATTATACCTGACCTTCTGGCTTTGCGATGGTAGAGAAATACCTTAATCCTGTCTTATTAAAAGTTTTTTCTCAGTAAAATTCCATCCTTCCTGGTATATATGAAAGGAGCCTACCAAATGGTTTAGGTGAAGTTATCAGTTTCTACAGTGGAGTTTAACATCTAAATCCTTACATAATATGTAAGGGCTAGTTTTTCATGCTCTGCATTTATTTTCTTTCTGGGAAAGAAGTGGTGGAGAAAGTAAAAATAGATTTCTTAATATCTAGCCAAAACACCAATAAAGTGTTATTTTATACCCTGATTTGTCACACCCTACCTCATTATCCAAATCATCCACCACAGTAAAATTGTATATACATTTATTTATTTTATTTTTTCTTTAGAGATGGGGTCTTTGTCTGTCACTCAGGCTGGAGTACAGTGGCATGATCACAGCTTACTGCAGCCTTAAACTCCTGTGCTCAAGTGATCCTCTTGTCTCAGCCTCCAGAGTAGTTGGAACTACAGGTAAACACCACCACGACTAACTTTTTTCTTTAATTTTTTTTTTTTTTTTTTTGTAGAGTCAGAGTCTTGCCATTTTGCCCAGGCTTGTCTTGAACTCTTAGGCTTAAACAATCCTCCAACCTCAGCCTCCCAAAGTGCTGGGATTACCGGCATGCCACCATGCCTGGCCCCCCACAGTAACATTTTATATATCTTCCCATTGAACTTTGATCTCTAATATACTTTTTAGAAAGATGTGTTCAAGAAATGTTTGTAATACACAAATAAGTGAATGAATGAATAAAATTACCTAATTACTGGATTTTAAAATGCCAATATGACTTACTGAAACTTTTTAAACTCGAGGATCTGTCTGTTTAGGAATATACAGTAATTTTTTATTTAATGCGTGTCAATATCACATTCCAATAAGAATAAAAAATACAAAAATAATGCATGACAATGGAAATAAATGAGGGAATAGTTTAAATTTATCAAAAGATTATTATCAATACTTTTTACTTAATTATTATCTTTCTATTTAATCTATCTATCCATCCATTCATGCGTCCATCCATGCATCCATGCACCCATCCATCCATCCATCCATCCATCCATCCATCCATCCATCTTTTTATCTGTCTATCCATCCATTTAGCTAGCCAGCTAACTGGAGAAGCATATTTAGATAAAAAGAGTTAGATCCCAGAGCAGTGGCTCATGCCTGTAATGCCAGCACTTTGGGAAGCTGAGGTGGGAGGATTGTTTGAGCCCAGGAGTGCGAGATCAGGCTGGGCAACATAGCAAGCCCACATCTCTACAGATAATTTAAAAATTAGCCAGGCATAGTGGTGCATGCCTGTGGTTCCATTTACTCGAGAGGTTGAGGTGAGAGGATCACCTGAGCCTGGGAAGTCAAGACTGCAATGCACTCCATCCTGAACAACAGAGCAAGACTCCATCTCCAAAAAAAAGATTGTACTTAGATAGAAGGAATAAGTTCTGGTATTCTATAGCATAGTAAGGTGACTATAGTTACCAATAATTTATAGTATATTTCAAAATAACTAGAAGAGAGGATTTTGAGTGTTCCCAACAGAAAGAAACAATAAATATTTGAGGTAATCAATATCACAAACACTCTGGTTTGATCATTTCACATTGTATGCATATATTAAAATATCACATTTGCCCTAGAAATATGTACAATTTTTATGTATAAAGAATAAAAGTATGGGCACAATGGCTCCACATCTTGCCTGAGGCCCAGCGGGTGCAAAGCACAGAGCCTAGGGATGCAGTCTTCATGTCTCTGAGAGGATAGCTTCCTGTGTATTTTCAAGCCTCCAGCCTTGACAGTGTCACCTCAACTCATAATGAACTTATGTTGAATCCCTTTCTGTTAGTCAAGGGAATTCAATGGCCTCCCTTAACGTTTTGCAGACTTCCAAGATGATGTCTTAAAAATCACCTCCGTTGTCATGTCCTGAGCCTGCCAAGTTCTTGTTTTGGTGTCTTCTACGTCTCCTTCCATTGTTGACCTCAAGGAAGAAGATGGTTCCTTTGTCTTTCGTTTTCTCTAAGACCCTGGCAACACATAGCAGGTTGTTATTGAAAGCTTGAGTTATTAGAAAGTGTTTATGTCTCAGCACAGAAAAAAATAATTGTTTAAAGTTGAATATTAAATAACTATATTTCTAAAAAATCTAGAGGCGAGGCACGGTGGCTCATGCCTATAATCCCAGTAATTTGGGAGGCTGAGGCAGGTGGATCACCTGAGGTCAGGAGTTCAAGACCAGCCTGACCAACATAGTGAAATCCCGTCTCTACTAAAAATACAAAAGTTATCCGGGTATGGTAGTGCTTGCCTATAATCCCAGCTACTCGGGAGGCTGAGGCTGAGGCAGAAGAATTGCTTGAACCCAGGAGGTGGAGATTGCAGTGACCCAAGATTGTACCATTGCACTCCAGCCTGTGTGACAGAGAGATGCTCTGTCTAAAAAAAAAATCTATCTTTCTGGTGAATACAGAATTTCACCAGCTGACTTTCTCTCCATGCGCTAAGTTCCAGTCATGGTCATCTTTCCATATTTTTCTTCCTCTGATTCATGTCAGCTCTCCTCCATTATTTTTTTATTAGGGTTCCCACACTTCTCTTCCCAGCCATCTTTTTGTCAAGTATCTTTCTATATTTCTTGCTGTGGACAGAATGGAGGAATACTTAGTTTTCAAATCCCTGCCCTATCATTACTCTGGTGACATTGAGAAAGTTACTGATCAATTTATGGTTTGTGTTCTCCATCTACAAAATGAGACCACTAGAAATACCTACCTCATAGGATGGTGAAGATTAAAGAAATTGTTGCATATGTAATGCCTGTAAATATATGTGGTTCATAGTAAGAGCTCACTAAATGCTAGTTATTGTTGCTCCTCTTGCTTATTAAGCAATGCATTCTGTTTATTTATTCATTATTTTTTAGGTTGTTTCCCAACCTACTAGGAAATAATCTGACGCCTATTTTTCAGTTAAAAAGTTGTGCCAGTTTGTTTTGCTAATCAAAAGACAGCCTCCTCCATAAGATAAATTCTGACACTATGCTTAAAGTACAATTCTTAACCTTTTTTTGTTTATTTCTATCTCTGTGACATATTTTTGGGAGACAAGAGGAAAGGAAGGGTGGAATAAAAAGACGTTGCTGAGAGGGAGAATTTGAGATTCCAAAGCCTAACATTCTAGGTGCCAGAACCTCTCCTCAGTCTTCTCCTATTTCATCTAGATTAGTTGAATCATTTAAGAATCAACTAAATTTATTATTCCCTGTCCCCTACCCTTCTATTATTTTTCTTATCAAATCAATCCCCTTTGAAAATGTTTTGCGTTTTTTAAGCTTATATGCTCTCTAAACTTCCTCTTTAGTTCTCCCTGAAGTCAACATTCATTCCTTACTGTCCCAGCCTTTCTTTTTAAACTCCTGTGAAATGCTTGTGTGAGAGTATCAGTGCAGAAAATGATAAATAAGGCAAGGAACCATATGTCAAGGGTCTATTGGGGATTAGCAACAAGAGATGGAACTGGAGTAAATTTCAGAGTCTCTGGGCCCACCTGGAACCTCAAAACCTCTTCGAATTAGAAAGACATCAACAATCCTAATTTCAAGATTACCTGATTATTAATTGCTATATAAAAACCTTGAACATCAGAAATAAATAAGAGGTGAATTACAGATAGAGAGGATGTTTAATTTTAAATAAGACAGTAAGGAAAGGAAGTGCTAAAAGGAAGACATAAAGACAGAATAGAGACAATATAGTTAAAGACTCAAAGTGAAATTTAAAAGGAGCAAAGAAACTATGAGCTTCAGCTCAGAGAAAAGAAGCACGCATATGAAAATAACATAATTCAGGGCGGACATCAGGAAACAGTGATTTGAGTTAGTCAGCATGTAAAGTGTGGGGAAAATCATCATGTTGTCCTCTGTAGCTTCATCTTAGAGATCTTGGACATGGATTTTTTACAATCTGTCAGTGAACAAATGGAAGGCATGTCCTAATACAATTTTTACAAAGGGGGTCTTTAAGGTTTCTAGATAGACAATCATATAATCAGCAAATAGTGACAGTTCGACTTCCCCTTTACTGATTTGGATGCCCTTTATTCCTTTCTCTTGTCTGACTGCTCTGTCTACGACTTCCAGTACTATGTTGAAGAGAAATGGTGAGAGTGGGCATCCTTGTCTTGTTCCAGTTCTTAGAGGGAATGCTTTCAACTTTTCCCCGTTCAGTATTATGTCGGCTGCGGGTTTGTCATAGACGGCTTTCATTACATTGAGGTATGGCTCTTGTATGCTGATTTTGTTAAGAGTTTTAATCACAAAGGATGCTGGATTTTGTCGAATGCTTTTTCTACGTCTATTGAGATGATTATGTGATTTTTGTTTTTAATTCTGTTTATGTGGTGTATCATATTTACCGATGTGCATATGTTAAACCATCCCTGCATCCCTGCTATAAAACCCCCTTGATCATGTTCCATCAAAAAGTGGGCTAAGGACATGGATAGACAATTCTCAAAAGAATATATACACATGGTCAACAAACATAACAAATGCTCAACATTACTAATTATCAGGGAAATGCAAATCAAAACCACAACGTGATACTACCTTACTCCTGCAACAATGACCATAATAAAAAAATAAAAAATAATACATGTTGGCGTGGATGTGGTGAACAGGAAATACTGCTACACTGCTGGTGGGAATGTAAGCTAGTACAACTATGGAGAAAATAATGTGGAAATTCCTTAAAGAGCTAATAGTAGAACTACCATTTGATTCAGCAATCCCGCTACTGGGTATCTACTCTGAGGAAAATAAGTCATTATACAAAAAAAGATACTTGCACACGCATGTTTATAGCAGTACAATTCACAATTGCAAAAATGTGGAACCAACCCAAGTGCCCATTAATCAATGAGTGGATAAACTGTTATATATATATATATATATATATACACACACACACACACACACACACACACACACACATATATCACATATATATCATATATATGTGATATATATGAGATAGAATACTACTTAGCCATAAAAAGGAATGACTTCATGGCATTTGCAGCAACCTGGATGAGATTGGAGAATATTATTCTAAGTGAAGTAACCCCAGAATGGAAAAACAAACATCATATATTCTTACTCATAAGTAGGAGCCAAGATATGAGGAGGCAAAGGCATAAGAATGACACAATGGACTTTGGGGACTCACAAGGAAAGGATGGGAAGGGATTGAGGGATAAAAGACTACAAACTGGGTGCAGTGTATACTGCTCGGGTGATGGGTGCACCAAAATCTCACAAATCACCACTAAAGAACTGACTCATGTAGTCAAACACCACCTGTTCCCCAGTAACTTATGGAAATAAAAAAAATTTCTTAAAAAACAACATTGGTAATAATGTGTCTGGCATCTCCTGAATAGGTGGTTCCATTCTATTGGAGTGAGTGGGAGTTGTAGGGCAGAGGGAATCATAGCATGTCACAACATAAAAGGGTACATGGAGAAAAACTTCTGTAATGGTAACAGGGAAAGCATGGTGGAAACTATTGCCAATGAAGCAATCACTTAACCACTGAAAATTGTGAATAAAACATATAGAAACATTCAAAGTCTCCAGAAATGGTCCTAAGGGCATATAGTAGATAGAGGAAAAATATACTTAAGAAAATCTACTAAATCTTGGTAAGAACAGTGAGCTCATGGCATTTGAACCATAATCCACTCATACCACTCCCTCTTCTCCCCAGCTGAGTGTGAGGGGAGCTATACTCCAGACATATTTACCAAGAATATGGGGCTATGTCTTCACCAAATTTTCAGTTGAAGACTGCAGTTCAACCAGGGAGGGTAGGCCAGAGGCACATTTCATAGTCTTGAGAGACAGGACTAGTTGGATTTCCTAGGCTGACTGAAAACCCCTAAGCCTAGCTGGGAAGGTGACTGCATCCACCTTTAAACAGGGGGCTTGCAACTCAGCTCACACCTGACCAATCAGGTAGTAAAGAGAGCTCACTAAAATGCTAACTAGGCAAAAACAGGAGGTAAAGAAATAGCCAATCATCTATCGCCTGAGAGCACAGTGGGAGGGACAATGATCAGGATATAAACCAGGCATTCGATCTGACAACAGCTACCCCCTTTGGGTCCCCTCCCTTTGTATTGGAGCTCTGTTTTCACTGTATTAAATCTTGCAGCTGCACACTCTTGTGGTCCATGTTTGTTACGGTTTGAGCTGAGCTTTTGCTCGCCATTCACCACTGCTGTTTGCTGCCATAGCAGGCCTTCCGCTGACTTCCACCCCTCTGGATCTGGCACGGTGTCTCCTGTACTCCTGATCCAGCGAGGTGTCCATAGCTGCTCTGGATTGGGCTAAAGGCTCACCATTGTTCCTGCATGGCTAAGTGCCCGGGTTCATCCTAAGCAAGCTGAACACTAGTTGCTGGGTTTCATGGTTCTCTTCCATGACCCACAGCTTCTAATAGAGCTATAACACTCACTGCATGGCCCAAGATTCCATTCCTTGGAATCTCTGAGGCCAAGAACCCAAGGTCGGAGAATAAGAAGATTGCCGCCATCTTGGAAGCAGCCTGCCACCATCTTGGGAGCTCTGGGAACAAGGACCCCCCAGTAATAGTCTCAGTTCCAGATTATAGATAACTCTGTTCCAGAGCTCTTCCTGATACAGCCACCACTTTCAGAGTGAAGGCTCTGCTCTAGGTGAATCAGGTAAAGAATCCTTGGCCTTGAATGCACCTGTCTGCCACGGCTTGCTTGTAGGGCAGAAGTTCCACACGAGGAGGGGCAAGCACAGAAGACAAGGGTCTAAAATCTCCTCTGAGATCAGGGTTGCTACTCTGGGAGAAGTGGGCCAATATCTCATCCAATGACACGGATTTTCTGCCCATGGAAAGAGACAAGACTTACGCACAAAGAACCTCACAGCTGAAGCAGAACAAGGTTTTTCCAATGATGTCCATGTCTTAATACATAGAACATGCAAAGATATTACCTTACATGGCAAAAGACACTTTTCAAATTTGATTAAATTAAGGATATTGAGATGAAAAGATGATCCTGGATTATCTGGGTGGTTCCATTGTTATGAAAAGGGTCCTTATAAGATGGAAACCTGAAGGTCAGAGGGAGAGACACAAGTATATGTAACGATAAATGCAAGAGTTGGAGTAATTTAGAGAAGGCCTCAAGCCAAGGAATGTTAATAGACTCTAGAAGCTGAAAAGCAAATAAACTGATTCTACCATGGAACTCGCAGAAGGAACATAGCCTTGCCAGCATCTTGACTTTAAACTCTTACCTAAAGACTGTAATAGAATAGATACCTATTATTTAAGTCTCTAAGTTTGCAGTTATTGGTTACAGTGGCAATAGGACATGAGTATAACTCTCCCAAACAACACTGGCTTTATTTAAAACAGTATGGGAAAGATCATGCCCAAGGGCACTGCCAAAAACAATAGATATCTTAGTGGTGAGCAACTAAAAGGGAACTGATAGCTACAAGATCTTACAGCAACAGTGGAATTGGTAGAGCAGTTGAAGATGACCAGAGAAAACCAGGCAAAGAGACAGCTAAAAAATGCCTCCCTGAGGTCTGAGCAACCTCAAAGTCTCAGCACCCTTCCCCTTTAAAAGAGTCCCTATTTAATTGGATCAGATAGTGGAGCAATTTACACCCCCAGGGTATTGTTAAAAAATACAGAACAGTCAACTACCTGATAAATGCTTCCTATGAAAAATCTCACATGCAACATCATACTTAAAGGTGAAAGACATAATATTTTTTCTTTAAAATCAAGAGCAAGACAAGAATGACTACTATTGCCACTACTGTTCACATTGTGCAAAGGTTCCAGTCAGGGAAATTAGAAAAAAAATAAATAGAAGTTATCTATATTTGTAATTAAGGAGTGAAAATGTCTGTATTTTCAGGTGACATGATCTCATTAAATAGAAAATCTTAAGGAATCCACTAAAACACCACAAGAATTAATAGACAAGTTCAGCAACATGAGTGAATACAAGATCAACATGTGGAAATCAATTGCTTTTATAGAAATATAAATAAACCCAAACAAATTAAAAAGATATTTATATTTACAATATTATAGAAAAGAAAAATATACTTAAGGATGAGTTTAACAAAGAGAGTGCAAGACAACTACATTGAATTACTGCAGCAGGCAGAATAATGCTTCCTCAAAGATAACCCCCTTATCCCTGGAAATTGTGAATATATTTTGTTTCATGGAAAAGAAGAATTAAGGTTGCTAATAAGCTGACTTTATGATAGAGAGATTGTCCTACATTATTTGGTTGTTCCAGTGTAATCGCAAAGGTTTGTAGACGTGAAAGCAGAAGAACGAATAAGAGCCAAGGTATAAGTGATGTAACGTGAGAAAGAAAAACTCAACCCACCATTGCTGGATTTGAAGATGGAAAGGGACTATGAGCCAAGGATGTTGGCAGCTTGAGGACACTGGGAAACACAAAGAAACTGCTTTTCTTCTAGAGCTTTCAGAGAGAAAGGCAGCCATGCTGACATTTTGATTGAGTCCCATAACACTGAGATGGACCAATGATTAAAAAACAAACAAACAAAAATGTAAAATAACTGTAAAACATTGTGTGATTTAAGCCATTAAGTGCACTAAATATGCAGTAAAATGTTACAGCAGCAATAAAAAACTGATACAACCATAAAACACACAGAAAGAAATTCATCAGAACTTAACATTGTTAAGATTCCAATATTCCTCAATTGATCTACAGATACAGCACAATTCCTGTAAAAATCTCAGCTAGCTATTCCCCACCCCCAGAATTGATAAGCCAAGTTTTAAATTCATATTTAATGCAAAGGATAATGACTTTGCTATTCGTATTTAATAACAAAGTTGGAGGGCTCACATTTCTCAAATTTAAAACTTACTACAAAGCTATAGTAATTAAGAAAGAGTGGTACACAATAAATATTTATATCAATGTAAATGAGAATCCATAAAGAAGCCATTACATCCATGGCCAATTGATTTTGATAAAGGTGCCAACACAATAAAATGGAGAAAGAACAGACTTTCCAACAATTTTGCTGGGACAATTGGCTATCCATGTGCAAAAGTATAAATTTGGACCCCTTCTTCATGCCATATGCAAATATTACCCAAAGGGGACCATATGCCTAAATGTAAGTGCTAAAATACAAATATTTTCACAGGAAATACATAAGTAAATCTTCATGGCCTTGGGCTAGGCAATGGTTTCTTAGACGTAACACTAAAAAAACCCATAAAACAGAACCTATAGTGGACTTCATCAAAATTTAAAACTTTTATGCTGCAACTAATACTATCAAGAAAGTAAAAATATAAACCTTAGAATGGGTGAATATATTTAAAATCTTATATCAAAAAAGGGACTGGGATTTCTATCCAGAATGTGTAAAGAAATCTCACAACTCCATCATTAAATATAAATAACCCAATTTAAAAAAGAGTAACATATCTCAGTTGATATTCCTCTAAAGAATATATACAAATGGCCAGAAGAAATACTCAACATCATTAACTGCTAGGGAAATGCTAATCAAAACCACAATGAAATATTACTTTTTCCCACTAGGAGAGCTATAGTAACAAAGACAGACAATAACAAGTATTGGAGAGAATGAATAAAAATAGGAACTCTCATCTGCTACTAATGGGACTGTAAAATTGAGTAGCCACTTTAAAAAACAGTTTAGCAGTACCTCAAAATATTAAACATGATGTTACTCTATGTATTAGTTTGTTCTCATGCTGCTAATAAAGACATATCCAAGACTGGGTAATTTATAAAGGAAAGAGGTTTAATTGACTCACAGTTCAGCATGGCTGGGGAGGCCTCAGGAAACTTACAATCATGGCGGAAGGGGAAGCAAACACTTCTTCACATGGTGGCAGCAAGGAGAAGTGCTGAGCAAAATGGGGAAAAGCCCTTATAAAACCATCAGATCTCATGAGAACTCACTCAATATCATGAGAATACCATAAGGATAACTGCCCCCATGATTCAATTACCTCCCACTGGGTCCCTCCCACAATAGGTAGGGATTATGGAAACTAAAATTCAAGATGAGATTTGGGTGGGGACACAACCAAACCATAGCACGATATGATCCAGTAATTCTACTTGTAGATATATTCCCAAATGAAATGAAGGCATATGTCCACATTTTAATTCATACACAAATGATTATAGCAAAATTATTCACAATAGTCAATAATAGAAACAATATAAAGGCCTATCAACTGATGAAGTGGTAAATAAATGGGTCATATCCACATAGTGACATGTTATTCAATCATAATAAAAAGAAATGAATTTCTGATACTTGCTACAATATGAATGAAACTTTAAAACATGTTACTATGTCAAGTCAGTCACAAACGACTATATGTTGTATGATTCCATTTATTTTACATGTCCCGAATAAAAAAAATTGTAGAAACACAAAACAGATGAGATGTTTCCTAGGGTGTGAGAAGTGGGGTGGTGATGGTCCCATAAGAAATGGAGATTAACTAATGCAGAGTTTCTTTTCAGATTGATATGAAAAAGTTCTAACATTGTATTATGATGATGGTTGCACAACTCTTAGCATACTGAAAAACACTTTAAATGAGTGCAGAGTATGGTGTATGTGTTATGTCTTTAAAAAGATGTTTAGGAAAAATAAAGGTAGAAAAAGGAGAGACTGAGACATGGAAGGTATTCAAAGAATCTGAGAGGATTATTGTTCGAAGCGTTGAACAATAGCTACTTCTTCAATAGCTACTTTTAGTAAAATAGCTACTAGACAATCACTACCTCTACTTCTACTACTTATGATTATTTGGTTCTCCTCTTCTGAGATGCAGGAGCATACTTCCTTGCTAGTTAGTCATAGCAGGACCATCTGACTAGTTCTGGACAAATAGTTGTGGGCAGAAAGGTTGTGTATTATTTCCCAGTCAAGCATTAAATTTTGATGTGAGATCCTCCAGCACTCTCTTCCCCTGATGTATCAGCTGAAGAGGCTGTGTGCTCCAGGTGGTGCAGTGATAGTTTCATAGAGTTTTGCAGAGCCTGGTTCACTAGATATGAACTGGAATTCAGAACAACAGGAAAATGTGCATGAGCAAAAAATGCACTTTTGTTTGTGTGTTGAACCACTGAAATTTTAGAGTTGCTTATTACTGCACCGTAACGTGTGATATGTGACCTACACAACAAGGTGATGGAGAAACAGGGGTATAGATACATATAATAACTGACTTACATGTTTGAAAACCCAGCACTCTATTGTAAAGCAGGTACAAATTCGTGTAATTTATTTTGGGCTAGAAAAAAAAATGGCTATCAACGTTTCTCCCTTCTGGAATATGTTGAGTCTTGTGAGGGATAGCAAAGCCTTCTTTTAGTTAGCTGGTGGTTCATTTGAAACAATTTGATTGGCAGAAGGTGAATGGTTTCATATATATTTTTTTTTCCATAGGACTAAAATTTAATCTCTCATACATCTAATAATTCTCCATTTTCTATTTTCACATGTTCTTATTTTTTCTTTAGTTGGTGGATAAAAGATTTCTAATAGATGGGAGTGAATTTGGATAAAGGATATATCATATATACATAATGTATATACATATAAAATCTCATGCAAGTCGAGTATTCCTTATCTGAAATGTGGAATATTTGCATTATATATTGGTTGAGTATCCCTAATCTAAAAAAGCCCAAAATCTGAAATGTTCTGAAACTTTATGTATTTCAAACTTTTTGAGTATTTCAACCTTTTGAGGGCCAATGACCCTCCAAAAATTATTTTAGAGAATTTTGGATTTCAGATTTTTGGGATTAGAGATGCTCTAAATGTATACATACAAAATTTGTCACTGTTTGTAACTTATAAGTATGCTAGTTGTTATTTTTAGAGAAATTGTTGCTAAAATATAAGTTCTTTCTTAATGCATTTGTAAGTTTGGAGTTTGTTTTCTCTTTCATTTTCCTTATTCCACGTTCCTGAGATCACTGGTAAGAGAAGAAAGCATGCGTTGCTGTGGGTCAGGTGCTACATTCGAATATCATGCTCATGACACCAGGGTCCATTTAATAAATTACTGCTGTGGGGCACTAAATGGTATACTAGTGGCTTCAAATCCATTAAGAGACAATTTGTTAACTTTGTGGGGGAGGGATCGGGTTAGTATTGGTATTATCTTGTGTACCTGAAGTTCAGGACTCCTCCTCACAGCTATTTCATCCAATTAATTTAGAAGGCTATTATCCCCATTATACAAATGGACAAACTAGCCTATAAGATCAGTGAGAATCTGTCAGGTTCCCATAAAAGAGGATGCCATTTCCTGATACAGCATAAAGGTGGCTTTAAACTTTTATGTCCTCCCTCTCAGACATCATAGGCTGCCCTATCATGTTCTTTGTATAAGTCTGAGACAGATTTGAATGAACACAAAGCAAAGTAATGCTTGGAATTACATTGTTGGTTAACCTAAATACTTTAGTTCTTAGAGTGGGACACCAGGATAGAGAAGAAACAGAGGATTATGTAATATCTATATAATGAAGAGTAAAGAAATCAAAATATTCAGTTTAGAAAAAGGAAAAATGTAATGCTAAAAATAGTACTTATATATCCAGCACTCTAAACTGACAAATAACTTACACATCAGTATGTCCTCATTTATCCTTGAAAAGAATGTTTAGGTTAATTGACTCTCTTATTTTCACAAATGAGAAAACTAAAGCTTGAGCTTGGTGATGTCTATAAGGTGACACTCCTAGGAACTTGGGAAAGCCAGTATCTCAGGGTAGGTATTAGATAACCTACCCCATTAATTACCCTTACTAATCAAATCCAAAGTTCACATTGTCTCATAACTAATCTTGCTCTTTTTTTCTTTCCAATGCCATCTTTTTACTTACCCCTCATTCTCTACTCACTGGGCACATCTGTGTTATTGCTTTTTTCTACAAAGACCAATTTTATTCATGCCTTGAAGAATTTACATTTGCTTTTTTATCTTCCTGTATAACTCTCTGAAGATTTTCACATGGCTAGCTACTTCTTACCATTCTCAAGGCTCAGCTTACAAATTTCCTCCTTGGATTAGACTTCCTTATCTACTTCATCTAAAGAAGTTCCCCTTGAATTTTTTATTGTATATTTTATGTATTGTGTTATACAATAAATGTATAGAATTATACAAATCTAATGCGACAGCACATTAGATTTAATGTTCATAACACTCGTTTTTATCCCCTTCAGTCATTTAACATCTGCCTCTCTCTCCTAGAATTTAATCCTAAAAGAGTATGTTTACTGTCATTTTACTCAATACCATATCCTCAATATCTAACATAGTCTCTCGGGTATAGTAAATGGTAAATAAAACTTCTTTACTAGGTGAATGAAATAATATATCAGCTTTGGGGGAAAGAAAGACAGTATATCTATCTTTATGAAATATAGGAGAACTAATAAACTTATGTTTAGCTTCAGAAATGGGCTCAATAGATGAGGCTCTGAATAGATAATTGAATTTAAACTTTCACAAAAAATAATTTTATAAAATATCACACCTCTGATTCCAGGAAACAGGCTCTCCCACACGGTAGTTCATTAGCACTGATGAAATGTTCAAGCAAAGGACAGGTGTGCATTTTGAAGATGCAGGGATGCCTGAATCAGGCAGGTGGTGGTGCTAAGTTTGCCTCCATCCTATTTTATCACTTCTGAAACCTATAACTCTAAAGAGGTATTTTGTATAAATAATTTTTTTAACCAAACAAAAACAATGAAGTGGGCAAGCCTGCTATTTATACTTCATTATTTTCCATTAAACTCAGAAAAATCGTAAGATTCTTTTTGGAATTGCATATGATCTTGTTTGCAATAGCCTTCTAATAAAAGAGAAAGTTTTAACAGCACATTAGATTTCAATTGACATTAAATGTGTAATTACCCCCAATGAATCAGTGAGGAATGACTTAAGCTGCAGGTAACCACAAATTAGACTTAACAATGGCTTAAACAAATAAGGCTTTTTAATTTCCATGTAAACAGAAGTCTGAGGACAGGTAGTTTCCAGTATACATCTTCCAATGGTGTCACTACTTCCAAATTTTATTTCTGTCTGCTCCTCTATACTGTGGATTGATAACACTACCTCTCAAGTAGGTTCACAAAGAATATATTACTGTTGCTAAGCATCAGGTTCTTACAGGTAAAATATTAAATAATAGTACCTCTTTTGTACCATTTTTACTAGAAATAAAGAGACAACATATGACAAGTGTTTGGCACTGATCATTGCCTTGGAGGGCTCCACCATTTTCTCCATTTTTTTTTTTTTTTTGCTTTATTACTCCATTTCTCTTACATTTAATTCCTCTGTCAGCACACAAATTTCACCTTCATCCATACTCATTTCTTTGCTTATTGTTTAGGTCAAGACATCCACTTGGAGAAGTTTTCTCTTACAAACTTGTACAGCTTATTCTTCTACAATCCCCGCCACCAACTCCCTACTAGCCTAGACTTTAGAGTTCTGAATATGACTACTGAGGTAGTGTGATTACTTAGGTCATGACTACAAATACTATATATTTAAAACATCAGCTTCAGTGTCATTTCGGTTCAAGCCAGCAAGTGTTTATAACTACTGCATACCAGGCACAGTAGAACTTCTGAGAAGCCACCTTCCAATTCCTGTGAGTACAGTTATTCACCTATACTTCTAGGAGCACGCAGCTGGTTGGGCTCTCTGAAAGCAGATGCTAAAATGGAAGTGTCACAGGGAAGGTGTTAATTAGGGATCAATAGATACCATAAAAGGAACAGGGGAGAAAGCAGGACTGTGCAGAGGAAGAAGTCAAACTGTGGCACAGCCAGAAAGATCCTCAGCCCCAAACAGGTAATGCCAGTCAAAATCATTCCAGTTGAGCCAAAATGGCCAGGTCTTCACATGCCTTCCTCCCTCAGTCACCAATGTGGGCTGTCCAGAGACAGTGATCTCAGGCAATTCCGTTTTGAGGGACAGCTGGAGTTGGTCTGCTAACCACAGTCCCTGTAGCTGGGAAGGAAGTTGTTTCTTGAAGAGAAATCTGCGTTGCTCCTCCGTGTGTCTACCAGAGTCTATGTCTTGGAACGCTGAAATGCATTTCTTCAGATATATTCAGGATATGACTCCTTCAGGATTCCAGTGGACTTGTCTTCCTTAGAAGAAACTTAAGAGGCAGGTAAGTGTGATGAACTATAGCCCCTGATACTACAACAAGTTTCAGTTACACAGTAGTGTTGTCCTCCTTTAGCCACCATACGGTCTAGATTCTCCTTCACCTCTGCTATCATCAGGGGTTTATCTGTGGCATGACCTAGACCTCCTCACCAAGAGGCCTCAGTCCTTGGTTACAATGTCCTTATTAGGCCAGCGTTGCCAAACCTGTTATTTTACAATCACAATTAGCAATGGAGAGACACCAAGACCTACCTAAGTGGATTATAAGAGTTCCACAGATGTTCCTCTTTGGTCACATTCTGAAACAGGAGCCGAGCCTCCAACTGCCTATCAGAGTCAATTACTTCTGCTGCAAAGATGGTAATTCCTTTTGCCTGGTAGTCTATTGACACCGCAAGCCCAAACTGCTCAGGTAGCAGCTGTAGCTTATAATTAAACAGAACTGTTACAGTGTTCCCTTGCAAGAAGTGCCTCCCTTTGAAGAACCAAGATTTCTAATTCTATATTCCAAGGTCGTGGAGATGGGAAGTAAAAATTCTCATGTAAGTCATTTGGTGTGATAGCACTTGGAGTCATTCCTGCTTCTATTCTTCAGTTCCTAAACCCATGTACTCTTCCTGTGGGGACACACCACCATGTAAAATCTTGATTAAATGCTTATAAAAATCCTGGCACTATTTTTCACAGGGTATTTCCCCTAAACCGGCACTTCAGAGATGCCTTCAGCAGGACACTCAATCCTCTTTCAGGCTGGTATCTGGATGGGGCAGGATGTGGGACGTTCCATTGTGATGGTGCTACTCCCATACCTGGATGCAACACGTTCATCCTATTAAGAATGATTTGTTGGGCTTCCTGGGTTGATCCTCATATATTTGACAAAACCCAGTTTACAATGGGTAGTTTTGGCTACATTGTCATAGAATGTCCTGTGGTCAGATATTTTGTCTTCATTTGGAGTTGTTCCTCAAAAACTTACAATTATTTGCTGCAGTGGCTTGGATTTGTTACTAAACTCTAATGGCTTGTTTTATATATATATATATATATATATGTATATATATATATATATGTATATATATATATATACATATATATATATGTATATATATATATTTTCTCATTGAATCTTGCCAAAAATTCCTAATGACATTTTTTTTTCCACCACTGAAATCTCCAACACCATAGTGTATGCCAGATCATATGGTCCATACTGGTCCCCAATATGGCCCGAACTCCAGTATTGCTTCCATAGCAGCTGGACCTCCTGCAGAGCCCTTTCCTTCTCTAGGCCCCAACAGCACCGGCAGCCTCTGTGTTACCCAGAAGATGGACCAAGGCAACATTTCTAGCAATGGACCATGTTCCTTCCAGAACCCAAAGAGTCCCACCAGGCACAGAGATTTCTTCTTCATTGTGGGAGGTTTGAGACATGGTAACTTATCTTTTACTTTGGAGGCCATGTTTCCAAAGCATGGTCTTGTGATCATGATCTTATGTTCTCATGATCTCACGACATTACAATTGTCCTAACTATTCAACCCCTAAAAATGTACAGACACATGTAGTCTGTAAACATTTTTTGGCATATTTTCCATCCTCTGGAGCATAGGTTTCTTACACAGGCTTCCAGTTTTTAGCCACTGTTTGCTCATCTGGCTCAATCAATATAGTATCATCATGTAATTGATCAATGTGATGCTTGCCATAATATCCAGAAAATCAAGGCCACATTGGGTTTTACTGTGACAGAGAGTAGAGAGTTAGCACATTGCCAGGGCAAAACTCTGTGTGACTGTGTGTGTGTGTGTGTGTGTGTGTGTGTGTGTGTATTTTATTTCATGCAAATTCAAACTGCCTTCATCATCTTTTCTGATAAAGTTGGAAAAGAACACAACAGCCGAGTCCATGCCCCACTTACTTGAGGACATATTTATATGCTCATTCAAAGACACTATTTGTCACGATGGCTCCAATTGGAGATAGTACTTGGTTGAACTTGAAGTGGTCTACAGTAATCCTCCAGGATTCTTACAGTTCTGTGTTGTTTAATGTGTTTAAAAAAGCTATCATTGTGATCACTCACTCCTCTGAAACTTTTTCCTTAGGAATGGCACTAATCACCCCTTTCTCATCTCTTTCCTTTGGGATACAGTATTGTTTCTAATTTATTATCTTGGGTATGAGGAAAACAGTGTTGATGATTTCGGAGTTTTCTACTTGGCCCTCTCCACTATGATAGCTTTTACCCCACAGATCCCAATATGGAGATTTTGTGTCAATTTCCCAATCTGTCTATCTCAATTTTATGGACCAGAAAAATGATCCCTGGCATCATTTTTCTTGTTGATATCATGGATCACTGTAAGCTAGATGTTGAGCAGGACTCCGGGATATCATCTGACATCCATAAGACCCTACTTTAACAAAGAACCTTCGTAATGGTTTGTTTTATGTGTAAACTTCGCTAGGATATAATACCAAGTTACTTAATCCAACACTAGTTTAGGTGTTGCCACACAGGTATTTCTGGATGGGGTTTAACATCTACAATCAGCTGATTTTAAGTAAAGAAAATAGGCATTGTTTCCTTCACTTGCCTGTCTCCTGTGCCTGTTATATGATCCTCAGTCATTGAATCCCTTTCCCATACAACTTCCTAATTCATCAGTAAAATGTTTAACCATCGGACCACAAAGTCATGTCAAGAACTGCCTGTACTCACTTTTTACTGTTGTTGTGCACTTATTGCCAGCCAGACAGTGAGTGGCTTTGTTCTAAAGCCCTGTCTTAGCAACTGCTTTCCTGGATTGCTCTTGGTATCAATGCTTGAGGTTGGAAGCTGTCAGCTTGCCAAGGATTAGAGCTCTAAGTAAATTCAGATGTGCTGAAGGGTACAGGGCAAGGCACCAACAGCGTCTGCCACGTTGGCCAGCAGAGGGGAGCAGCTCTTGTTACTGTGGTTATTGAATCTTCTGTTGTTGATGTCATTATTATTATTATTGGTATTAGTGAGTGACTGCAGAAAATGATCAACACCTGCAGATTTTTTTTAAAGTGTTGTTTCTCTAGCTTTACATTAAGGCGATGCCAATAATAGAGACTCACTTCAAATAAAAATGAATAATTTTCAACATCCATTTTCCAAAGGTAAGTAAAAGGTGGATCCCAGAACAGACAACCTGGTCTTAGGGTTAATTGCTAGGCTTTCCCTGTGATTCCACCCATGTTTTGCAAGTTAGTGTCTTCCTTTTTTCCTCCCTTTCTGTCTGTTTGCCGGAAGCCTGTGGTCTGGGCATGGTGCCCAGTTAGATTTAATTTTGGTTTCCTACTTATGCAGCATCCTAGCTGTGGTTTGGAGATGACATTTTACAAATTGTGTTTAGGCATTATTGTTTATTTATGGTGGAACAAGTACGGAAAGCTTGTGCCCAGCCTGTTTGGATAATAACATTTAAAATAGAAGAAATAAAACTAATAGCAAATGATAATACATACAAATGTGTGATCATACAGACACTAGTGCATGTTTACATGCCTTTGAATGGAGCTTTGGATATAATAACAGGACAATGGTGTCATATCTCTCTTCTTTTCCAATCTTTTCCTGTAGTAGCCTGAAAAACGAGAGAGACCAGAATATAGGTGTGTGCCCATGGTATGTCATCTGAAAGGACTGGGTAAACACGTGGGACGGACACTGAGCTGGGAATTCATAGAGGGTGTCCAGACTCCAGAGCCAAGAAGTGAGCTGGGCTCCCACCCCATTCTGAAGTTGCCAAAGAGTGAACTTGACCTGTATTCCACTATAAGTTGCTTCTTTAAGGTTCTCCTGGAGCTTTCTTAGTATGTGAATGGAATCTGGGCTGGTTTCCATAGTTTTTCTGGTTATTTTCAGGTATTACAACGTCCCCCCATGGAATCTCTCATACATCATAGAGCTTCCCTCCACCCTTCAGCCTTTTTAGTGCCTCCAACTAGAACATCTGCAGCAGGGAAGAGGCCAGGATGGGGTTCTTCACCCGTTCATTAGACTTTTCCTCATCTCCTCCTCACTCATTCACTGTGTGGCCTCTGATACTCCAGGGATAGAGCAGAAAGAAAGGAGAGGTAATGGACAGAGATCTGGGAATATTGTTTTATGCAATGTGTGTGCCTGTGCGTGTGTGTGCGTGTGCGTGTGCATGTGTGTGTGCGTGTGTGTGCACGCATGTATGTGTGTGTGCGCGTGTGTGCGTGTGTGTGCGTGTGTGTGTTTTGCAGATATTTATAAGCTGATCCCTCCTTCCTGGAACTCCTCGAAGGCTCCCCAGGTGAGCACATCCCTATATAGGAAACTCTAATTCATTGGCTGCCTCCCCTGGCTGCTTTGTTTTTCGGGTGCTCTCACATTCATTCCAACCGCCATCTTTTACCCTCAGACACTCTCAGGATTGAATCAGATAGCCATTTGCAAATGCCCAAATTTCAAGGATCACACATCCATCTTGGTAATTAGTTCCCTTGAAGTTCCACACTTGGTTTAAGGTGAAAAAGCAGAAGGCCCTCCTCTCCCTGTGACAATCAAGAGTTTTCTGCACACCTGCAGCCCTCTCTGAAGCAGCCCTTCTAGTCCCCAGGCTCTGATGTCCCCTATTCATATGGTGCGCTAACTCTGCTATGACCATCACTGGTGGGCCATTCCATTTGCAAGACCAGCACTTCTGTGGTGTTTTAGAATCCATTTTTTTTTTGTTCTTAGCATTTATAACTTCCACTGAATCTTTAAGACCACAAGAATAGCCACATTTTATACCCTACTGTAAACAAATTTCCAGTAGAAGTCAGATAAGTGCATATATAAGAATTCATATACATGTTGGCTTTAATCCTGTTTCACTTATGCAGATTTTACCTCCACCCATTAACAGAACACCATAAGTTTATTATCAAATTTTGAGAGGTATTACCTAGAAATCTATACCAGCACAAGTTTATGGTATTATTTGCCTGGGAAATACGAAAATAGCAGTTCAGCAACTGAGAGGCAGTGTGTAGCACAGAGACTAAATGCATCGATTACTCATCCCTCCCTTTGTTGAATTTTATCACTGTAAGCCTATACCTATAGATCGAGAAAATCCATTCAATCTTTCTGTGTTTCATTTTTCATCAAGTGGTAATAATAATAATTGTACCTACCTTACAGGTGGTTATAAAGATTAACAAAGATAATATATATGTGATACTTAGAACACCGTCATTAAAAAAATGTTCAATAAATGTTAGCTATTACTGGCTTAGGATTTGGGTAAAACACACACAGAGGCACACACACACGAAGTAAAACCATTTCTGTACAGTTGGTGATTAATTTTAGTCAATCAGTTAAGCAACTGTTTACAAGCTTCTCTGTGCCAGAGTATTATGCCAAGCACCGGAATACTGGGAAGTGTGGGTGTGGGTGGAGAAAAGCAGTTAAGCAAGACTCACTAGTGTAGTAGGAGAAACAACTATCAGGAGAGTCTCTTGAGATATTTAAGGTCCAAGGAGACTCATATTGTGAAATAGTGCAAATCCAAACAAAATGAGGTGGTGTTCACCCATCAAGTTGGCAAAAATGTTAAAGTTTGAGAATACCCATTGCTGGAAATGATGTGAGGAAAACACACATTCTCCATATATAATCAATAAAGGTAGACATTTATCAACTTTTATGGAAGGTATTGGAAAACATCTACAAAGGGTGAGATACGTGTGTAAGGATGATGGCTGCACTGTAGTCAAGTATAGGCCGAGGTACACATCTGGAATAGCATGACACAATGAGATTGGAGCGCAGGTGCACAATCCCATGCATTTTATAATCACAGTTATGTAGCCATAACATGGGAGGGCTCATCACCTGGCTCTGAGCCAGTATTGTGTGTGACATGCATAAATGCAGCACTGACAGTGTGGGTGAGCTGCTAAATAAAGCCATGTCCCCACCTACCTGTGATCTCTTGAGTGTTCTTTCAGCTGCCCACCCCTTGCCCGCTGACTCCCCTGGAATCTAACAATGTGTATCTTCTGATTATTGTATCTTGCATGTACAGATATCCTAGAAAAGGATAACCAAGGTACACAAGGATGTTTATTTCATTTTTGTTTGTAATAAGATGGCAAATAACCCTGGAAACAAAATGTCCTTCAAAAAGGAAATGAATATATAATTTATGGCCCAATTGTCCTTCCTTGTCCCTAAGGGAAGCATTCCAAGACCCCTAGTGGATGCCTGAAATCACAAAGGGTAATGAACACCATACAGATACTCGTTGATTTATGTGGGATTGTGTCCCATTACAAGTTAAAAATATCATAAATTGAAAATGCATATAATCACAAGTTAAAAATATCACAAATTGAAAATGCATATAATACACCTAACCTAACAAACATCATAGCCTAGGCTGCCTCAAATGTGCTCAGAACACTTATATTAGCCTATAGCTGGGCAAAATAACATAAAGTAAAGCCTGTTATAAGTGTTGGATATCTCATGTAATTCCTCCAGTACTGTACTGAAAGTGAAAAACAAAATGGTTGCATAGGTACTTGAAATACTGTTTCTACTGAATGCATACCACTTTTCCACCATCACAAAGTGGAAAAATAGTAAGTTGAATCATTTTAAGTCAGAGGCCATTTGTATATACCATGATTTTTCTATATACATATATACCTATGATAAAGTTTAATTTATAAATTTGACAGTAAAAATCAACAAAAACTGAAAATAAAACAATGAGAACAATCTACTGTAATAAAAATTATGTGAATGTGGTCTCTCTTTCTCTCCCTGAAAATATCTTATTCTCCTATATTCACCGTTCTCATGATGTGTCAATCTAATAATCCAGGCAGCTACTAAGTGACAAATGCGCAGGTAGCGGACGCAGTGCAGATACAAGGGACAAATGGATAATTCACATCCTGGGTGAAGGGTACGAGACAGGATAGTAAGACATTTCATCATGCTACTCAATGGCATGAAGCTGAAAACTTACGCTAGATTAGCTTATTGCTAGAATTTTCCACTTAATATTTTTGTACTGCATTGACTGCTGGTAACAGAAACCATGGAAAGGGAAGCCAAGATAAGGGGGCCTATTTTATATGCAAATAATGAAATATGATGTGGCATTTAAAAGAATTGAAATAAATAAGTATATGCAAACATAGAAAGATAATCAGAGTATATTATTAAATGAAAAAAAAAAACAACAAGCCAGGCCCACAGCAATATGCATTAGTTGTTGGTATCTGTAAACGTACAAAATATATACACACGTGCATATAAACCTGGAGTAGCATTAGTACTGAAATTCTTCTAGAAGCCATTACAAGAACTTGTTAACAGTGATTATTTTTAAGGAAATGCCTGAGAAGGTGACATATTTTTCTTTTCTTTCTTTTTTTTCTGTTTTTTTTTTTTTGTTTTTTTTTTGTTTTGTTTCGTTTTGTTTGTTTTTTTGTTTTTTTAAGATGGAGTCTCACTCTGTCGCCAGGCTGGAGTGCAGTGTCCTGATATTGGCTCACTGAAACTTCCACCTCCCAGGTTCAAGCGATTCTCCTGCCTCAGACTCCCGAGTAGCTGGGACTACAGGCACCCGCCACTATGCCCAGTTAATTTTTGTTTTTTAGTAGAGACAGGGTTTCACCGTGTTAGCCAGGATGGTCTCGATCTCTTGACCTCGTGATCCACTTGCCTCGGCCTCCCAAAATGCTGGGATTAGAGGTGTGAGCCACTGCACCCGGCCTCTTTTTTTTTTTTTTTTTTTGCATAATTCAAGGCAGTTTTAATTTTTCCACTATGTATAATAATTTTATAGAACTTCTTTGAGTAGTGATATTATAGAACTTTTAACAAATTTGTGCTCATTCCATATGGTATTTAGAAATTCATGTTTCATCTTATGTGAAACACACATGAACACAAATTATTATTTTTAAGCCCAAGAAAGAGCAGTGCTCCTGGAACCCCACAACTGAGTCAATGGACTTTCTCTGGTCTTTGGTCTATTTACACTCTTACTTCTGTTGTTTATTCTACCAGCTTTGCTCTGATTTATCTTTGCTGATGACTTATTTTTGTAGATGTCTTATTTTAAATTGGCTTCTCTCACTCCTGAAAACACTTCTCACTTGAACTGGGCGTCAGCATCACCTGAGGGAAGTTTTAGGGAAATAGAAGCCAGCATCTTCTTCCTGATCATTACACAGAATTCCTGGGAGTGTGAAGCACAGTGTGTGTGTGTGTGTGTGTGTGTGTGTGTGTGTGTGTGTGAAGCTTGCCTGATGATGGTGAGGTGCCTCCAGACTTAAGAAGAGCTGAGTTTCTCATAGAGCTTCCCAGTTCATGTACAAAAGGGATAGGGTGCCCAGACCTTCATCTTCTTCTACTACTTCAACTCTTCTTCCCCTGATCTCTCAGCTTTTCTCTTACCCAAAACAACATGCAACTCAGAGATTTTTCTTTAACTTCTCATCTTGCCTCTGATGCATGAAGTCAGCTACGTTTTTCTAAGTTTGCTCAGTATTTTGACTTCTCTGGTTGGGAATACAGAGCTTTTTAAGTGAACTGACCCTGAAGAACAGTCTTGGATAGTAAAAACTTCTCTTCCAGAATTCCATTTACTGGCGCTGTCTCTGTGAAATTACCTGTCAGTTACCTGTCAATGGGTTTACCCTGTAACTGTCTTTACCCACCATTGGAGAATTCTATTTTTGTTTTGTAATTTTTGCTCTGAGTTACACTGTTTCTCCAGCATTTGCCTTACCGGGATCTGAACCATTAAAGCAGTATTTCCCAAATTTTACTGTATTATGAGTCACCTAGGGATCTTGTTAAAATGCAGATTTTGAATCCATAGGTCTGGGGTGGGGCTAGAGATTCTTGCTTTTTAATGAGCTCCCAAGTAATGCTGAAGCTCCTTGAAGCATCATGGTCTACACTTTGTGGAGCAAAGCATCACAGCTCCTGGCTCCTGGCCTGCAGTTTCCACTCTACCAGCCTCCTTCAGACTTATAATTGCTCTATCCCCCTCCTTTGACCAGAGCTTGCAAGTCAATCATGGCATTTAATAAATGGCATGGTCAGGATTTAGCCCTGGGTGCTCTAGACATTGGTATCTACTGTATGCAGAAACGTGTTTTCCAGGAACGATGATCACAGATGACACTTGCCAAACACATGCCAAGCACTGAATAATGTTCTTTTCATTTACGGTTTGCTAAAAAGTATACCTCACCATTCTATAAAGTAGGCAACACTATTATCCCAGTTTTGTAGATGAAGACTCTGAAGTTAACTAGCACCAGATATCACAGAAAGGGATGGGGTTGAAATTCAAACCCATGTAATTCTCTCCAAGAACTACTATTAACTTTTAGATATGTTTGTTTGTTTTTATATTATTGTACAAAATGAGGCTATGGTATAAAACAGTCGTGTAATTTCAAACTGATGTTCATTACCTTTACTGTATTTTTATTCTATCTGAAATTATATACAGATTTTTAAATTAACTTTTTTTATTATACTTTAAGTTCTAGGGTACATGTGCACAACATGCAGGTTTGTTACATATGTATACATGTGCCATGTTAGTGGGCTGCACCCATTAACTCGTCATTTACATTGGGTATATCTCCTAATGCTTTCCCTCCCCCCTCCCCCCACCCCACAACAGGCCCCGGTGTGTGATGTTCCCCTTAAGAAAAACTGCAACTCAATAGATGCAGCCCACCATTTTTCATCTTACCTTTCTTTCCCCTGTATTCTCTTTTTAATTTTTGAAAGGTGTGAGTCCTAGTCTCAATCCCATACTAAAGTGAACGTCAGTGTTCTTATTTGTTACAGAGGCGGGGATTCTTCTGCAGCAGTCATTTTTAACCAGATTGGAGGAAACTAAGGATTTATGTAAGTTTACATACTGTCCACACTTATGAGATTCTAATTCAGAAGATCTAGCTTGGGGTCCAGGAATCTGTAATTCAAAGGACCCACAAATAATTCACATGCATATTTTAGTTGAGAATGCCTTAACTAAATGGTTCCTAAGCTATTTATTTTCACACTGAAAACTAGCTATGACACTAATCCCCAGTAAACTGTGTTCTTGCTTTCCATGTGGGGCTTGTTGTCTTTCCTGTAGGAGCAGACAGTGCCAGAAGAAAACTTGTTTTGTTCCTGAAATCTTCCCCATTCAAGGTGAATGATTAGTGTGACTGTTGCCTCTCCTAGAGCAATCCCAATGTGGGATGCACTGTTGGTCAGGTGATAGGTGGCTTAATTAGCAGGAGTCAACGCACAGCTGCTACCAGTCTAGGACTGTGTACGGCTGTCGAGCATCTGTTATGACTTTACGAAAGCTGGAGGGCAGGAAACCATGGGGAGTAGTCTATTTCTGTGGTGTGTTTCCATTGATGATATTGTCTGCATGCAGAATGAGCCCATAGCTCTTTATTTGGAAAGTCTTGAGAATCTTCTTTGCTTGAAAGCGTGTAGCAGGTTTTCACTGTATCAGCAAGCAGAGACTTTATTGGGATTATTGAGTGGCACATGTTACAGCTATCTCTTGAGTCAGTTACAAAACTGCATATGTTCTTAATCCTCATCCTCATCTTATTCCACATCCTCTCTGTCTCAGTCTCTCTGTCTCTGTCTCTCTCTCTCTCTTTCTGTTTCCATCTGTCTCTCTCTCTCTCCCTCTCTGTCACTTATAATCATCAAGTATTAAAACAAGAAAGGCCCAAGGAGGTCATCCAGTTTAGTGGTCCCTGAGTGATAGCCAAGAGATAATTGTTTTTTATTGTTTCCTACCACTAAATACATAGAGTTTTCCCGTCAAGACATTCTGGCAACATACACTTTTAAAAAATCTCCAAAGCAGTTCTTATGCACAGTAACTTTGGGATTCCTCATGTTATTGTTAGTTAAGTTGAAATCCAGAGAGGTAAAAAAAAATAATTATTCACATATAGAAAGTAAGAGAATAGAGACCTCAGATTACCTGATTCCCAGTCCTCTCTTTTTTCATACTCTATGTTATTTCCATTTCTCACCCATCTATAACTATATTAGGACATTTTTGTAGTGCACATTAGTTAATTTTGTCCATCTAGAAACTCATTCTTCTGGGCAACTATGTACAATAATGTGATTATAAAATGATGACCAATCATAGAATCTCACTCTCCTACCCTAGATTGGGTTTATGACCCAGTTCTCATTGGCCACTCATTTCTCTTATCTCAGCATGTAAGTCCTGGGTTGTACCTGTAATCAAACTAGGCAAATAAAGCTCTTTTTCTGGGTTCTTCAATTTGGAGGTAACAAAGTACTTGTTCCTTAGGTTGAAAGCTCAATGAGTGCAAGTTAGGGGGTGTCACAGTGCATGTTTTTTGGAATAAAGTTAAAAACCCAGTTGCAGGTGGGGAAAATGAGGCCACAGATAAGATAAGCAGAGCCCAGAGATGCCAATTTGAGAGGAGGAGAAAGAGTGTATGTTTTCTATTGAGGATTTTAGTACCTGGATTCAGTACTTTCTGAAGCAAGTTATCTCCTGATTGCATAATGTTTCTCTACTAAGTCTCTATCTGATTTCCCACTAAGTTTTCCTATATCGTTTTCTGTGTTATGAATTGAATGTTTGTGTCCCCACAAAATTCATGTTAAAGCCTTCATTGCCCATGTGATGGTATCTGGAAATGGAGCCTTTGGGAGGTAAATAGGCCCCTCATGAAGGGACTAGTTCCCTTGTAAGAAGAGAAAGGGAGTGATCTCTCCCTGAGCTGGCACAAAGAGGTCACGTGAGCACACAGCAAGAAGGCTGCTGTCTGCAAGCCAGGAAGAGGGCCCTCACCAGAACCCAACCATGCTGGCACCCTGATCTCAGACTTCCATCTTCCAGAACTGTGAGAAATAAATATCTGTTGTTTCAGCCACCCAGACTATAGTATTTTGGTATAGAAACCTGTTATGGTTTGGCTGGGTCCCCACCCAAATCTCATCTTGAATTGTAGTTCTCATAATCCCCACAAGTCATGGGAGGGAGCCAGTGGGAGGTAATCAAATCATGGGGGTGGTTACTCTATGCTGCTGTTCTCATAATAGTGAGTGCGTTCTCATGAGATCCAATGCTTTTATAAGGGGCCTTCCCCCTTTTGCTCTGCACATCTCCTTGCTGCCACCATGTGAAGAAGGACATGTTTGCTTCCCCTTCCATCATAGTTGTAAGTTTCCTGAGGCCTCCCCAGCCACCCTGAACTGTGATACAATTAGGCCTCTTTCTTTTATAAGTTATCCAGTCTTGAGTATTTCTTCATAGCAGCTTGAGAACAAACTAATAAAAAACCCAAGCTGAGGCTTACATCATCTGTCTACTTATTCCCAACATGTGGAGAATAGTTCCCCAGTTTAAAATCACTGGCTAATTGCTAACACTGTGCCTAATTATTTTTGGTCTTCTATTCCTCTGGTTTGTGTTTTAATCCTTTTATTTTGCTGACTAAATCAAAATCAAACAACACCCTTGTTATCGTCTCTGTTCTCTAGGTTCTAGGCTCATTGGTTTCTACTTAATACTTAATCTTCACTAAACTTGATCATTAGCTGTGAAACTATAAGTCAGTGGCAATGAAGTGAAAGGATATCAGCATTAAATTTGGTCACAGTTAAATTAATCTAAGCACAGATGCATTGAATACAATGGAACTTTGAACAAGTTCCTTATTTTCTTCATTTATAATGTTCCTCATGTTAAAATGAGCATTAGAAATAACTTACAGGATTATATCAGGCTAACTAAAATATTTATCATATATTTTAGTTATTCATATACTTCTTTTTCATAGTGAGAACTTTTAAAATCTATTCTTTTAGTAATTTTGAAATATACATTATTATTAACTTGGATATGTTAATTAACTTGATATAATAATTCTACATTGTATACATATATCAAAAGACCATATTATAACAAATAAATATATATAATTATTACTAGTAATTAAAAATAAAAATTGAAATAAAAAATAACATAGGAAATTGTACAGATAGTAACTGGTACTAATTGTTTAATGGCTCTTCTTTCTTATTTTTTAATGTAACTATTTTATTAGTGTAACATTTTTGTTAGTTTATTGAAAAATGACTTACAGGAGGTAGGACTCGATTATAATACAAGCAAGATACACAGCTTTCCATGGGGTATGACTTTGACCAGCCATTTCAACCTCCCAGTGTCAGATCTTCATCTATAAAGCATTATAATAAAACTTAATTTTCTGATCTAACAGGGTTTTTGAGAAAGGCAAAATAGATCTTGTCTATGAGTGCATTTTTTTTATAGCTCTCTGTCTGACCAAGGATCTTGTCTTTACCTGCCCTCAAGCTCCTCCCACCTAAACAAATACAGCAGTGCTCTCTGTAAAAGTCCCTGACCAAAATCAGGAAATAAACTTAAAGATGCAGAACTCAAAATCTATTTAAAAGCAATGGAACCTGCAGAAGGAAAATAAACAAACAAAAAATACATCCTCCGGCATATTGTGATATATTTTTTAAAAAGCAATTACCAGAAATGAATTTGCGTTCAGGATGACTTCCTTCATTCAAAAATAAAATGATCCACAGCCAGCCCATGGAAACATGGGACACACATCCAGCTCCCAAAAGGCAATATGATTTTGCCCCCTACATTATCCAGCTGTGATTGATGAGTGACATTAGGAGAAAAACATGTGGCTGAAAGTGCACATCAAAGGTTCAGTGGGCCAGGTGGCTGTATTTGTGTTTGACTACATGTAGTTATTATGGTGAGTGGGTATGGGAGGGAAGAGAAGAGCAATGGTGCGAGGAGATGAAGACATAGGGACACGATAGCATTAATGTTGCTACATGAGGGAGAAATTGCAAAATGATCCTGCTTAGCTATGCCACCCACCTTGCCACAAGCCTAGGGGCCAGCTGTTCTGTTTTATGTTACTTCATAGCAGCATTTGGCAGTCAACCTGTTATCCTCTTCTTTTGTGGTTGGCATTACTTACTATCTTGTTCAAGAGTTTGTTTATTGGAAATTGCAGGCATCAAAGTCAATTCCATGGGAGCTTTGAATTCTAAGGGTGCCCAAGGTACAGTGTCAGAAATTCAATCTACTGTTCTCCAAGAACACTAAAAACACATATGGTTTTAGATGACTGGAGATAGGCTTATTTGTGGAAACTGCAAAGATACAGAAGTTGGCCAGAGGAGTAGCAATAGAAAGAATCAACATCTGCTTGCCTTAAAATAAAAAAGAAATAAAATATTTGGCTAAGATATGAGAATTTGGTACTGATGTACAAGAAACTTTGTTAGATATTTCAAGAATATAGAATTACATACTATTCCCTAAATCAAATCTCTATTGAGGACCTGATGGGTACAAGTTCTGGGAATACAGAGCTGAATAAAGCAGGGTCTTTGCTTTAAAGGAGCTCACCTTTTATTAAGAAGACAAACATATACTCATAAACGCAAAAACATCTGGTGAGGACATTTGAACATGAAGATTCTGGATGAAGGGTGTCAGATGAACCTTTCTAAAAGACTTGACTTCTGACCCATGTTTTCAGAGGAATAGTTTGCTAACACAACAAAGGGATATATATTTTCAGATATCTGTCACCTACTGGATATTGAGTTCTTACAATTTAAGGGCCATCTCGGGTAATCTTTATAAACCCAGGACTTAGTATATCCTGAAGACATGTAATCAGTGTCTTCACAATTGTTCCTGGAATTTTATTCTGTACCCCAGTTCTGGTAATTGAACCCCCCTGCCGCCCCCCCCCCCCCGCCACACACACACACATCATAGATTGATCTCTTTGAAAGATGAGAGTCTAAAACATTTATCCATTAATACCAGAACATAGACTCTTCCACTTTCTCTTGTTTTTAGGCTTATTTCTTTTGGAGTGTAGAAGTCTTCAGGGCATGACAGAGAGATAGGCAAATCCTGCTTAAGGTGGGACCTCCCCGCTGGAAGTGAACCTGAATTGTCCCTAACAACCATGACTGAAACCAAAAGGTGGGCGAAGGGGATGTAGGCCAAGAGGATGGGGGCATGTGCTACTAATTTTCTTGGGGAAAAATTATGTAGCATAAGTTCAGAAGGAACTGATCTTATTGGGATCAGCTTAGGTTTAGATATACTCAATTGATGCATGTATTTGTTTAGGAGGGCTTTAGCTCTGTTTTTCTTCTGTAAAGCAAAAAGTTTGGCCTGACATGCTTACAGATAACATGCTTATGCTTCAGTATAAAGAAAAGTCAATTTCTATTAACCATTAAATTTCCCTTCTTCTCTGTACACATTTTACTTCAAAGCATTTGCTGACCTTTTTGTGATAAATGTAATTCACTCTGAAACCCAAGGGTCAAGTGAGAAAGAGGAAAATCTGACATTTGGAATCACCATCCATTAGGCTCAATAAGGCCAGAGATCACCTTGAAAGGCAACATATGTCACCCCAAATTGATAGTGTTTTGACTCACAGTGAATGTTTGAGCAATTTTTTAAAAAGTTTTTTTTTCCCAACTACTTAGCAGCTGATAGTTTTGAAAGCATTGTTTCTTTAATATCCAAAATCAGACAGTACCTGAACTTGGGTAGCTAAAATTCTGTTGCATGTTGATATGATAATGCTTATCAGTAAATGGCCCTCAAATTATCCTCTTTATTATTCTATCTGTACTTAGGGAGCATTGGATTCTAGACAAGCTATCATTTATTCTGTATGTGATTTTTATCAAGTCCTTTAAATTTTTGTTTTCCTTTTGTTTAAATTTTCAAATAGGAATTCTTTCAATAATTAGGTTTTGATCACCTACTATATCTAAGGCATTGAGTTAGGTAGTAAGGTATCAGCTGTGACAAAGATGGACAAGGGCTTACAATCTAATTGAGGAGATAAATAATAAATGATGCAATTTTGACAGGATGGTCCTGAGAATTAACTGTGAATACGTGCAGGCAGAGTATCTGGTACATACATTGAAAGTCTGTGGTAAAGCCATGCTTCTTCTGTTTACAAGACGTGTGATCTGAGAAAAATATTTTATCTTGTCTAGAAAAAGGAAAATGAGACTTTGATTCAACAAATATTTACTGAGGTTAAAAATTACATTTGAAATTCTGATAAGTGGTGGGGATATAATATTAGGTAAAAGAGACACGACCACACCTTCTCTGGGCTTACATTGTTATTTATCTTCATGTTTATTTAAGGACTATATAAGAAAATGCATGCAAAAGTCTACTTAAAATTGTAAATCAGTGTAATTATTCAGCGAGTGTACAAGATATTGGATCATGTTTCCTGGAGTTTTATAACCTCCGTTTCATTATATTATGCTGTATATTCTTTTCAAATTCTTGCCTTTGCCTCTATGTGTAATAATAGCTTGTTTATTTGTCATGAAATGGTAATCAGTATTAACCTCCTCTTCTATACAACCACACAGAAATGATGCTTTTTTATTTTATTTTTTTTGAGACGGAGTCTCTCTCTGTCCCCAGGCTGGAGTGCAGTGGCGCCATCTCGGCTCACTGCAAGCTCTGCCTCCCCAGTAGCTGGGACTACAGGCGCCCGCCACCATGCCCGGCTAATTTTTTGTATTTTTAGTAGAGACGGGGTTTCACCGTGTTTGCCAGGATGGTCTCGATCTCCTGACCTCGTGATCAGCCCGCCTCGGCCTCCCAAAGTGCTGGAATTACAGGTGTTAGCCACCCCGGCCGGCCAGAAATGATGCTTTCTGAATGGATTCGTGATCCTGAGCACTGTTAGCTTACATGGGATTTTCAAACTTTCAAGGGAAGAGGGTATGATACAAGTATAGTTTTGGTGAGTGCTAACTGCATTCTTTTTTTTACATTTGAGAGTTTTAAAATAGCTCAGTCTATGATTAAGTTGATTATTACAGAAAAAGAGAAGACAGGACAGGGTGAAAGAAGTTTGCAGTGACTATATATAGCAAGCACCTAGAACTAGGATGGCATAGGCACAGTCTTTCAAAGATCCTTGTCAACATCAGCAGAAAAACATGGGGCTGGTTTACTACAAACCTGAACACAGTGTCAATATTCCCAACAGGGTGCTTGATGCAGCCACCCCCAATGCTGCAGATGTGGCACATGCCTTGAAATGTAATTATTGTCTCTGTCCTGGCTCAAGATTCTAACTTTGCAACAGAGGAGAGATCGTCTACAATCATTTATCAGTTCACGACAAAGAAAGCATTTCAACCCAAATCTAACGCCCTTTTTGCATTTTTTTCTATTTTTGTTTTTCTCACCAAAACACCATGATCTTTAGTCACAACATACCACAGACTGCTTGTATTACATGTCACAATTTAAAAATAAAAATCAGAGCATCAGATGGTCCAACATCATAGCAATCGAGATATTGCCTCTTCATCTTTTCTTTCTCCTACATCCAACATTAATTAAAATGTTAACATCAAATTATAGATCACTGTTAGAATCATTGAATAACAAAACACTCAATCTGAATCACAGAAATTAAGATGATTTACACAGACTTCCTGATAAACAATTGAAGCAGATGTCAGTGGTGCCCTGTCCATAACCTCTTACTATTTTTGTGAGGCCAGCCCAACTTCCAGCTGCCAGCACCTATAATTCTTTGCCAGTGGTCATTCTCTGGCTGCAGAACTTCTGTGTATGTGAGGGGTGGAGAGAACTCTTGGGGGAATAATGTGCCTGGGAGAAGCCCTCACTCAAATGATGAGTAGGAGTAGGGGGTTGGTACTCCAGCAGCTCCACTATGCTTTGGAGGTGTGTGTCCCCTGTTGACTCCCATGGTTCCCCAGCAGGACCAAGCTCTACATGACAACAGCAGGTTTTGCTTTATCCTCAATATACCTTTCACTGGTGCCTTCCCTTCCCTGACTCACTCTCCGTTTCCCTGCTGGTGTGTCCTAAGACCACTTCCCAATGAACTATTTACATCATAGCCTTGTCTTAGAGTCTGCCCCTATAGAAACCAAACCAAGATAAAAATGTATACATACAGGAAACTGAATGAATGTATACATGAGTTAATTTCTACTCTAGGGCTAAGGTTATTGCAGCAAACAAAGCAGATTAAATTCTTGCCTTTAGTGTGCTAAATAAATGTTTATGCTCTTCCCTGCTTAGCAGTTCTCTCAGCTGAAGGAAGCAAGAAAGACAAAGAAGAGGCGACTTTGGTTTTTACACTCCTGCCAAAAATTAAACAGGTATCAAAGAACGATGCATAATGAGACCTTAGATTTTACACAGCAATGTAAAGTGTATAAAAGCTTTCACCTAGAATATCCTAAAAACAAATAGACAACCTCTTCAGATAGTTCGGGAAACTATCATTCTTACCATTTCACAGATGAGGAAATTGAGGTTTAGAGACATGATTGAGCAGATTAATTCTGCAGGCAAACATCATGGTCCATTACAATTTATCCTTCTGCCTGTGTCAGAGTCTATGTCATTATAGCCTCTATGACAAGATCACAAAGGCAGTGCTGCAAATCAAATGATCACTTCCAGTAATCCTGGCTTGCTACTGAATTACAGTTTCCTCACCTTCTTTTGAAACAGGCAGATTAGGTCACTGCTGGGAAGAGCTACTTCCATGGCCCATTGATTTGCTTTCATTGGGTATTTCTTTTCCTGGCAGAATAGTTTGTCGATGATATTAGGTAGATGCAACTTATCATGCATTACAGAAGTTTATAACTCTAGGGAGATGAATAAAAAGGAGAAAAATAGCTACTGCTTAAAATAAGAATCTCAGATGTTGGTGTGCTTGTTTAGGGAGAGGTTACCATGGAGATCAAGGCTTTGCAACACACTTTGCAGGATATAATGGCACAAGTCTTCGGCTGGAATAGGCCCTTATGCAACTCTTTTACCATCATTGTGCCACATGCTGACAACTCTATCTACAGATGGGCCAACCCATGTACCCCTACGCCACTCAAGTTCATTCCAGTTCATGGGGAAAATTTGTGTGTGATGGGAACCTGCCAATAACTCCACCCTATCATCACGTTCCAAATAGAAGTAAATGTTATTGACAATTTTTTTATTCCAAGAATAAGGAAAATAGCAACAATAATAATAAAAGCAACTATTCATTTATCATATGCTCTATGCAAGATATTGAGCTGTGCCACATACATTTATAGTATTTAATTTTCAAAGCTAGGAGCTGAGGTATGTATGTTTATCTCTGTTTTGCAGGCAAGACAACTGAGGCTTAGAGACATGAAACAATGTGCTCACCACCACCCGGCACCTAATGGGAAGAGCATGGACTCAAACCATGGCCCATGCTTTTTTTTTTTTTTCCCCAGGAATGCTTTATGTTTCTGCCTTCTCTGCCCCTCACCTTATTGACCCAGTCTATGGACGTGAGTTTCTTCAATCTCATAATAGTTCTTCATTGCCTTGCTGACTTTTCTCCTTTAAGCATCTCACTTTCCATTAGCACTGATACTTCACCCCAAGGCCGGCCCATTTGTTTGAACCATTGATACACACAACTGGATTAGTTTCCCAAACATCTCATTCCTCTTGGTTCAGTTCTGCATGTTCTTCTCTGTTTAGATAATAAGTCATAGTACCTCCTTTCTGACCAGACATACTAAAATTAGGAGACATAGGTTCTAGGCTTTGTTGTCTCGCTAATAACTCTGAATAATTAAGCATGTCGAGGCTCCATTTATTGTGACAGACAGATATCTAGGTTGATTTACTCTTGTACATAAGGGTAGCATAACCATATATTGAGCATTTAGTATGTACAGGAACTTTGAAAAAGAGAGGTAAACTTTACACATTACGGATAATCCAGCAAAAAGAGCAAAGCATTGTGAATGGAAAGCATTTGACTTAAGTTTACAGGATTGGAAATTCCATAGGTGGAGAGAAGGCGGACATGCAATCCAGCTGGAGGAAGCAATTTTGAACAAAGACAGAGAGAACACAGAATAAGAGCAGGTGGCAGAAAGTTGTGGAAAAGTCATAGAAGGTGATTTGTTGTTCAAGAGTGGGTGAAAACAGGAAACTCATTAAAACCCTTCATCTTATACGTGGGAAAACCTAAAGCCACTGGAAGATAACAGCTCATCCCCAAAACTCAAAACTGGCTAGTTTTAGGGATGTAAGTATACAAAGTCCAACAACTGCCTTTGCTGAATTGACTAGTTCATCCTTATAAAATGATTAATCCAATAAGCTCTTAGGGTAACAATTAAGCTGGATGTGCTCAAAAGATTTCAAATCATCCAAGAAAACATGACTGGTAGTGAACACAAGTATAGACATAAAGAAGTGAGGGAAAAGAAGGCACGCAGGTATTTCTGTGATTACCTTGGTTAGCAACATGACTCATTTAATGTATTGGTTGGTCGGAATTAGAACCCACCTTTCTAAATAAGCTCACTGGTATGTAATTTGCTTTCCACAACTTCTGACTAGCTATACAACAAGAAGAGAAAACTGAGCAATAACCCAAGGAATTCTTAAGACTAATTTATATAAATTGGCTTTTGTTCTTTTTAGTAACCAAAGTTAATGATACTACTCTAGCTGCTCCAAATCCCCTGTTTTTTATACTATTTTGCAGCAGGGAGGCTTTGTTTTTGGTGGGTTAGGAATGCTTTGAGAATCTCAGAAAATCTTTAGCTCCTACATGTCGTTAGTATCCAAACCCAGAAAAAAAATATATACTTGTGTGCATACACACAATATATCTAATTTTATTCCATATTTTTGGTACCTTCAAAGCATGTGCAACCATAAATACAATTGGGATTTATAAACTCTTGTAAAGAAATCTGTTTTATACTTCACAAAACAAGTTCACAAATATTCATGTAAAATTTACACCTCAGTTATGGAGATAAAGAAATTGAGATATGCAAAGGTAAAAATGGGCTTCCCTCATTCACACAGCTGGCCCTTGGAGGAGCAAGACATGGTTCCAGAACTTTTAGTCTTGATGCATTGCACTGCATTTTTGTATACATCATGTGTGCTATTCCTTGGATAGATTACGGCTGGTGAGAATAAGTGGGATATTATGCAGAGCACATTTCATATCTAATTATAAATAAAGCAAGGGTCAAATGGATAAAAGGGCATCTCTTTAAGCTGTCTTTTCCAAAAATGAAAGGATGAGCTTTCAAGCGTGTAAATTGCACACATGCAGGGAGCCAACAAGAACACTGCACATGTGGAAACTCACATACTGGTATTCTTCAAATATTCATTGGCTTCCCCATGTTGAAACATCAGTTAACTGTAAGTCAGTTTCACAGTCCCCTTACACTCTTGTTCATTTGGCTACAGCTAGGTCCCTCTCATTCAAGAGATCATCAATGAAAGATGGATTTGCCAGGCTTAATTGAATCTTCCATATTCAAGACTGCCCTCTCCATTTGATAAGAAAAGAGATATTTAAACAGGCTCTTGTCTCTTAAATGTCAAAATCTCTTAGCCGGGCTTACAGAGTTGTTCAGGTCATTAGTTCCTCTCCTGTCTTATATCTCCCAAACTCTAATGTATTACCTCTACCAGGCTGTCAGAGCCACAACGGTCCAATTATATCATATTCATCTTTGTGCTCCTAATTTCTAGCATTGTGTTCTTTATTTAACAAAGCCTTATTGTGTATAGACTTCGTGCAAAGCCCTGTTCATGTGGTGATGGGGTTAGTAAGGAGCAAAACCAAGTTTTCACCTCCATTGTGCTTACTTCTAGTGGGTGAGAGAGACAATAAACAAACAAATAAATGGAAAATATAATGCCAAGTAAATGCAAGTGCCATGAAGTCAGGGGTAGGAAATGATAAGGAGCAGTTCTTATTCTTTTTTTCTTTTTCTTTTGTTTTTAGATGGAGTCTCTCTCTGTCACCCAGGCTGGAATGCAGTGGCTTGATCTAGACTCACTGCAACCTCTGCCTCCTGGGTTCAAGCAATTTTCATGCCTTAGCTTCCCGAGTAGCTTGGGATTACAGGCGCCCACCACCATGCCCAGCTAATTTTTATATTTTTAGTAGAGATAGAGTTTTGCCATGTTGGCCAGGCTGGCCTCGAACTCCTGACCTCAGGTGATTGGACTGCCTTGGCCTCCCAAAGTGCTGGGATTACAGGGGTGAGCCACCACGCCTACCCAGATTTTTATTCTTGATTAGTGCTCTTGGGACTCTTTCTGCAGTGGTCTCATTGGAACAAAGATCTGAATGAAGGGAAGACAGTAGTACTTAAATATCTGGAGGGAGAACATTCCAAAGAGAGGAAGCAGCAAGTACAAATATTTAAAAGACAAGAACCTGCCTGGCATGCTTGGAAGAATGGAAGAGACATGTGTGGCTGTAGAGTAACACCCCTGTGTGGTGTCTGTCATATGGTGGACACTGAACAGACGTCAAAAGAACTACCACCTAAAACAATGCTCACCACATAGCTGATCTGCAATTAATGTGTTGTTGTTGTTGTTGTTGTTGTTTTGTATGGATATGTTTGTACTCTCCTCCAATCTGCCTATACCCTAAATATCCATAAATGCTAGCTGTCTTTCCAAATCAGTGATCTCATTAAACATACTCTATAACAGGAAGGGAGCTAAAATTGGCTGTTATATGTTGAGGCATGGCTTTATATATTAAATGTTGGTTCACTTTTTTAATTCCCGTGCCATGGGTGTGGCTATCCCCATAGAATGAACAAATAACGTATTGTGATGAACTAACTTGTTCAGGCCCACTCAGTCGTCAAGCTATAAAAACTGAGAGCTCAGATCTTGTTTAAAAGCCCATTCTTTATTTATTCACTGTATTGTCTATTCATTCAGGAGCCAGATGAAGGAAATGCTTTTCTCCTGATGTTAGAGATGAGGAAAGGTGGTGGACTCAGTTAAGCATGAGACAGATTATGGAAATTTTTTTTTACTTTATTACTATTATCAAAGTCTTGCAGGAAACAGACATCACTTTCAAAGGAGTGTCTGAAAAGAATAAAATGAAGAGACTGTTTCCTGAAGTGTAGGCACAACACAGGGAATTAATGAGGAATAATGAAGATCCCAGACCCTATCAATTGAGGGAAGCCATCATCTCCCACAGGCCTGGAGAGGCAAGAGGGAATTACCAGAATTCAGTAAGACCCTTGAAGATGTAGTTGAACTGTGGCTGTGTGAGGGAGGCCACCAGATAGGAGTTGGCTGGGGACTTTCCTGACTTGCCCAGAGCTATCCCAGTTTCATTATTGAAAGTCCTGCATCCTGAGACATTTCTCATTCCTAAGCAATCCAGGATGCTGAGTGAACATAGCTGTTCCATCTTGCATAGAATATTGTAACCAATGTCAAGCCATAGCTAAGGAGCGATGGGAATAGAAGAGGGATAAGGTGGAACTAAGCCCTTTGTCTACAGAGAGTGCCTTATACTGGTCCCACCCAACGGGATGCTTGAATGCAAGGGAGTTTATGTGATCCAGCCTGTAAAGGTCAGTCTGTAGAGGCTCATAAGCAGGAAAGAGAAAGACAGAGGACAGATCTGGGAAGTCACATGGAATATACTCATGCGAGTGCCGTGCAGTAGAAGATAGGCCATTTGCATGGTGTGATGGGTGTGAGGGGCCACTGGGTACAGTAGTTGCCTGTGGAAAATCATGAGCTGCTTACAAAAGACAGTCTCACTCCCTAGCATGGCATGGCATCGTTGGCTCTTTAATAGCCGCAGCTTGATTTTCTAATCTTATCACTTGAAACGTTTCCTGTGTACATGAATTTTACAGTCACAAGGGACTACTTAGCATCCTCCGTCATACCTGCACTTGTTGACTCTATGGTCTCACTGATTCTGCACCTGTAATGTCATCCTCACCTCCGTCTGCAAGCAGTTTACTCACTTCTAAGACTATAACCTAAGCTAATGACCTTCAACCCACAAAATGACTGTTTTTCTTTATTTTCCCACCACATTTTATACCATAAAAACTGTTATTATTTACCTCCCTTGCCATGTGACTCTGAGTGTCTCTCCAAATCTTCTTTGCTTCCACAGAGGTGGTGGGATGCTAGTCAGCAGTGACTATGTCTGATTTGCTTTTGTCTCCCAAGCTGGACCTAATGCAATATGTTGCACAATGTGTGTACTCAATCAACTTTTGTTCTGTGTAGAACTGAATTCAAAAACAAAATGTGACAAAGAAAATGTCCTGCAGCCTGAAACCTCCACAAGTACCCTAAACAGCCTGAGGAAATTTAATGAGAAGGATAATGTAGGTTTCTCCCAGGCACTCCTTACATGCCTATTCTTATGGAGCAAAATGCTCACTTATGTGTCTACTTTCATAGGAAATAGATTCTGTTGAGAGATGATGATTCTGCCTGTCTTCAAACTGAAACTCAGTAAAGGGTTCAGGTACAAACACTGGGTCGTGCCAACAGAGCCACATTTGTAAATGGGTTGCACAGCTTTTCCAGAAAGAAAAAAGATTTATATCATAATCAGACAAAAGCATGCATTGCTAGATTAAGGAGAGAAAATTGTATGCTTCCATGATTTTTAGTAAGTATATGTTTCAGATACATTAAATCAAGCCAAATGTCTTTGGTCTCTTCTAAGAGACCTATTGAGGCCTGGTAGGCTCCAAGTGATGTGCTAAGGTAAGAGAAAAAATAAAGAATTTGGAGTCAACAATGTTACAAGTCCTAGACGCACCACTGCCAGGTGTGTGAACTTCAGCATCCTACTGGGTCTCTCAGCCTATTTCCACATCTATAAAAGTTGAAACAATGAATCTATGCTGCTCCGCCTTGTTTTGAAATTTTTTTTTTGTAGACTCTAAAATTACATAAACATTACACTTTTCCTTTTTTTTGTTTTGTTTTGAGACAGAGTCTGGCTCTGTCACCCAGGCTGGAGTGCAGTGGCGCAATCTTGGCTCACTGCAAGCTCTGCCTTCCAGGTCCACGCCATTCTCCTGCCTCAGCCTCCCAAGTAGCTGAGACTACAGGCACTCGCCACCCCGCCTGACTAATTTTTTGTACTTTTTAGTACAGACGGGGTTTCACTCTGTTAGCCAGGATGGTCTCTATCTCCTGACCTCATGATCCGCCCGCCTCAGCCTCCCAAAGTGCTGGGATTACAGGCGTGAGCTACAGCGCCCGGCCCAACGTTACACTTCTTCTTAGCAACTTAATGACTTTCTCTGTATTGCAAATCCCTCGTTAAACAAAGAGAGTGGTGCCAGTTCTGTCTATGGATCATGGTGTTAGAGAAAATTTGCTGAAATTATACAAATCACAAATGAAAGACATTATTACTGAAAAGCCTTTGGAGCAAAAATAGTAAGTTCTTCAGAGGTCTGGGTGCTTGGGTGTACAGCTTTTCCTTTCCACTTATTAACTGTGTAGCCTGAATACATTTCTTTATTTTAGTCTTAGCATCATTTATAAAGGAGAGATGAAGATACTCACTTTACCTGGCCAAGTTAAGGGTAGAATAAAATGATATGTATAAATAAAAGACTTGGAACATAGTTGGCATAGAGTAAAGTCGTTCTTTTTCTTCAGTTGTGGTATTTTTACATTATTCAACAGAGATATGCAACATTTAGTATGGACAATCATAGAAATTCCTCAGGGACTGTCACTTCTGCTAAAGTCATATGGGTATGTCAAAGGCAAAGGCACGCAGTGAGTTGTTAAAGAAAGCTGATCTCCTCTAAGGGATTGAATTTCTTATAAGCAGTTTCCCATATTGTGCCAGGGTCCTTACAACATTGCATTTCACAATCAGCAAAACTTTCACAAATATTATCATTATGGCATTGAGCTGGGATTGGCAGGCTTTTTCTGGAAAGGGCCATATAATTAATATTTTCAGTTTTGCAAGCCATGTGGCCGTGTCACAATAAGTCTACATTTTTGTTATAACATAAGTGACTACATACAACATGTAAATGAATAAACATGACTATATCTTTTTTTTTTTTTTTTTTTTTGAGACGGAGTCTTGCTCTGTGCCCAGGCTGGAGTGCAGTGGCACCATCTCGGCTCACTGCAAGCTCCGCCCCCTGGGTTCACGCCATTCTCCTGCCTCAGCCTCGCGAGTAGCTGGGATTACAGGCGCCCGTCACCACGCCCGGCTAATTTTTTTTTTTTTTTTTTTTTTTATATTTAGTAGAGACGGGGTTTCACCGTGTTCGCCAGGATGGTCTCGATCTCCTGACCTCGTGATCCACCCGCCTCTGCCTCCCAAAGTGCTGGGATTACAGGCGTGAGCCACCGCACCCGCCCATGAATAAGCATGACTATATCGCAATAAGGCTTTATGTACAAAAGACGGCAGGTAGCTGGATTGACCCATGGATTACAGTTTGCCAACCCCTGGCATAAATGATTTGTGACTTCCTACTAGCCAGATAAGGGAATAGCATCACCACGTGCCCAGCCAACAGATACTACAAGGAACACAGAAACAACTATAAGGGATCAAATGTTTGCTTACAAGACAAAAGGTTTCCCATCAGTGATTAGCCTAGTTTTAACATTATCTCCAAAGAGCGATTTTCCCTGGTACTTTCAACTCTTTATGCACTGTTTGGATTTTCCCAGTTGGAAGTAGACAATGAAGTGATAAAACTGAGGTAGAGAAGGTTTACAATGCCTTTGCTAAGCTTAAAAAAAAAATCAATGAAGCCTCAGAATCCTAAGGACTGAACTCTGAGCAATGCCTAACAGGGAACGGAGAACCATGGATAAGAGCTATCTCAGGCTTTGACTGGAATGAAGAATCAGAGTATTTGAGGAAAAGAAAAAGAACATGAAAAATGACCTACACTGGGACAAGGAGAGACACTCTTGGCCACTTCTGGTCAATGTCTGATTAGTACCTAGCACCAAGCACAGACCCTCACACAGAGAAGGTGCCCAATGAAGACTCTAGGTTCAAATCACACCTCTGGTACTGTGTATCCATGTCCCTGTGGATAAGGTTTTCAAATCCTCTGCATCTTAATCTCATTGTTTATAACATAGGGATAAAATAGTATCTACTCATAAGTTTAGAGTGGGAATCAAATTAGCAAAGCATATATAAAATATTTAGTATAATACTTGGCATATATTAAGTTCTTAATAAATGCTTATTATTATTATTATGTACATCAATGAGTAAGTGACCTATTGAGTGACTGAATAATGTGTTGCATGATTTTATCTTTCAGTAAGCAGGGGAAGAACCCATCCCAGAGGATACAGGGCTTCAGTTCACAAACCAGGTCCAGGATCTCTACTGGATGGTGGTCTGTGAACAATTCCCACGGGCTCTTTGTACTTTTGGTTCTGTTTTGAAAGCTGATAGTTCTATCTAAGCTACACAGTGAAAAACCTAATGTACTAAATTTATCTTCACTTCCTTACCATCACATTTATTTCTGTCTCCACGAAACTAACATGATCACAAAGTGAAGTCCCACAATAGGCCTTCTGCAAGCTGAAGAGTAAGGAAGTCAGTCCAAGTCCCCAAACCTCAAAAGTATGGAAGCCGACAGTGCAGTCTTCAGTCTGTGGCCAAAGGCCTGAGAGCCCCTGGCAAACCACTGGTGTAGGTCCAAGAGTCCAAAAATTGAAGAACTTGGAGTCCAATGTTCGAGGGCAGGAAGCATCCAGCATACGAGAAAGACGGAGGCTGGAGGACTTAGCTAGTCCTTCCATGTTCCTCTGCCTGCTTTATCCTGGCTGCACTGGCAGCTGATTAGTTGGTGCCCACTCAGACTGAGAGTGGGTCTGCCTTTCCCAGTCCACGGACTCAAATCTTAATCTCCTTTGGCAACACCCTCACAGATACACCCAGGAACAATACTTTGCATCCTTCAATCCAGTCAAGTTGACACTCAATATTAAGCACCACACATGGGTATAATGATATGTGATGGTTAATTTTATGTATCAACTTTATTGGGCTACCGGAAGCCCAGACAGCTGGCAAAACATTATTTCTGGATTTGTGAGGCTGTTGCTGGAAAAGGCTAGCATTGGAATTGGTAGATAAAGTAAATAAGATTACCCTTACCAATGCAGGTGGATGTCATCCAATCTGTTGAGGGCCTGAATAAAACTAAAAGGTGCAAGAAGGGAAAACTTGCTCTCTCTACCTAAGCTGGGTCATGCACATAATCCTGCACTTGAATGTTGGTGCTCCTGGTTCTCAGCCTTCAGACTCAGACTGGAACTCACCCATCGGCTCCCCTGGTTCTCAGGTCTTTGAACTTGGACTTGAGTCACACCACTGGTTTCCCTGGGCCTCCAGCTTGCAGGTAGGAAATCATGTGGCAGATCAGCTTGTATAACTATGTGAATCAATTTCTCATAATAAACTTCTCTCTCTCTCTCTCTATCTCTCTCTCTCTCTCTCTCTCTGTTCATCAAGATTCTCCAAAAGGGGAGAACAAATAAGATTGTGTGTGTGTGTGTGTGTGTGTGTGTGTGTTTGTGAGCTTATTAGGGAATATTGGCTCACATGACTGGGGGAGAACCAATAGGACAATTGGCTTACATGACTACAAGGCAACATCCCATGATAGGCCATCTGCAAGCTGGGCAAAGAGAAAAGATAGTAGCATGACTTAGTTCAAGTCTGAAAGCCTCAGAAACAGTGTAGCCTTCAGTCTGAGACCAAAGTTCCAATAGCCCCTGGGAGGCTGCTGGTAAAAATCCCAGAGTCCAAAGGTCCACACACCTAGAATCTGATGTTCAAAGGCAGGAGGAGAGGAAGCAAACATTAAGCACAGGAAGCTAGAGTGTGAGAAGACTCAGCAAGCAAACCTATCCCCCTTTCTTACACTTGCTTTGTTCCAGCCATGCTGGCAGCCCATTGGATGGGACCCACCCACATTGAAGGTGGGTCTTCCCTTCCCAGTCCACTGATTCAGATGTCCTCTTCTCTGGGAAAAACTTCACAGACACACCCAGAAACAACACTTTACCATCCATCTAGGCATCCCTCAATCCGGTCAAGTTGACACTTAATATTAACCATCACACTCCCTACCTCTTTATCCATGCCAGGCCTCTTGTTTCTTTGGAAAACCCTGGCTAAAATAGATTTTAATACCAAGAGTGATGTTAAAGGAATGGAATTTTAAGAAAAAATCTTCGGAAAAAAATAGAAGTTTAAGCAAACCATAAGCGGAACTTAAAGATTTGGAAAATTCTTAATCTATCCATATTGTAAAAAATGACAACACTAAGGGTGTGAACGAGCGTCCATTTGATAGAAAGATCAGTATGGGTGTGAACCATAGACTTAACAAGTAAATCCAGGAGGAAAGTGAACTGCAAGAGAAGGAGATGAGAAGAAATGAAGGAATACTGTCAGACTTCTTGGATTTTACAGGACAAGACCAAGAAGCTGTTCAGCTGAAAACATGGGCTATTCTTCAAGACAAGGGAAGAATGCTCCTGAAAGTGATTCACAGATAATCAGGGAATGCCTCCTCAGTTTCAAAAGGGTAGCCCACCACCTTGCTTTCAACAAGCCAAAAGGTCTCTGCACAGAGCTGTGGTGTTGGGGCCACCCAGAGCCATGGGGAAATAACGGCTGCTGAGTAGAGTTGTCGGGGCAGAACCTCCACCTCAGTGGGTCTAGAAGGCTAAACCCCTGACCCAGTGGGTCTGGAAGGCAAGAGCTCTACTCCAGTAGGCCTGGGATATAGCATTGAGCCAAAGAGGATTATTCTTGAGCTTTATGATCTCATGAAATTTGCTTTATAGTTTAGATTTATTTGGAATCTGATACCTCTTTATTTTTCCGATTTTTCCCTTTTCAAATGAAAACGTCTATCCTATGCCCATCTTACCCAGGTATTTTGGAAGTATATAACTTTTTTGGTTGTATGGGTTCACAGCTGAAGAGCAACTGACCCCAGCTTAAATCATAGTTCAAGTCTCACTCATATCTGATTTAGTTGATATTTTAATGAGACTTTGTGCTTTAGAGTTTTGAGTTAACACTAAAAGAAGTTGGAAGTCTGGGGTATGTTAGGATGAAATAAATGTATGTTGCATGTGGGACGGACATAAATTTTGGGAGACAAGGAGTGGGGTGCTATAGACTGAATGTACACGACCCCACAAAATGCATATGTTGAAATCTTAACCCTTAACATGATGGTATTAGTAAGTGAGGCCATTGGTAGGTGATCAGGACATGAGGGAAGAACCTTCATGAATGGGATTAGTGTTTTTATAAAAGAGACTTTGGAGAGCTCCCTTGTCCCTTCACACATGTGAGGACACAGTGTGAGGATGGGAGTTCATGAACCAGAAAGCAGGCACTGAGCAGTTGCTGAATCTGCTAGAGCCTTGATCTTGGACTTCCCAGCCTTCAGAAATGTGGGAAATAAATTTCTGTTGTGTATAAGGCGCCTAGTCTAGAATAGTTTGTTATTGCAGCCTGAACAGACTAAGACATGATACCTCATAGGACTGTTGTGATAATGAATTTTACATTTACTGATAACATTCACTTAGGAATTGTTTTCTCAGTTTATTCCTGAACTTAGTTGAATGAAAAAGAGATGCTAATTCCTATTGAGTCAAGTGTTACATTAATGTGGCTAAAATGCCACTTAGAAGAAGTGGTTCTCTTTTTTCTGGTTAGATAATTTCTAGAATTTTGCTCTTTTCTCTCCAATCATAGACTCCATTCTAATGGATTATGGTTGGTTTTCTACCCTTGGCTAGTTGGGACTCCAGGACATGTATAATACACATCAGCAGCCCTAGGCTGAAGGACTTTATGGGGCCTTGCAGATCTCAATTCTTTTTTTTTTTTTTTTGAGATGGAGTTTCGCTCTTGTTGCCCAGGCTGGAGTGCAATGGCGCCATCTCGACTCACCGCAATCTCCGCTTCCCTGGGTTCAATCCATTCACCTGCCTCAGCCTCCCAAGTAGCTGGGATTACAGGCATGCACCACCACGCCCAGCTAATTTTGTATTTTTAGTAGAGACAGGGTGTCTCCGTGTTGGTCAGGCTGGTCTCGAACTCCCAACCTCAGGTGATCCACCTGCCTTGGCCTCCCAAAGTGCTGGGATTACAGGCATGTGCCCAGCCCTCAATTCTTACTCAATTCCATGAGGTCATGTTACTTTTAGTGCAGTTTCAACTTGCAGAAGCATCAATTTCAGTTTAATTTAATGTTTGATAAACTGAAACCCTGGTATCATACTTAGTATTGTGCTTTTTTCATACCCAACATCCAATTTTGCTAAATTTTTTTTAGCATCTGTAACCAACTTATATCCTAAATGAAACTTCTGTAAACTGTCTTGCACCTTGCCTCTCACTTGTAGTACTGAATTCCCTGTTTCCACTCATACCAATCTCTGGTTCACTTTTCACAAAGGATTTATTAAGTCTTATCTCTCCAATGACTTATCTGTTACAATAAGACTAAAGTACAAACTACCTATCATTGTGTACTCAATAGTACATAATTTGGCCTCTCCCTAAGTTCCAATTCCATATCCTCCTGCTTCCCATACCATTGACTGTGCTGTGACCACACTGGTCTACTTGACTACACCAAGCTCAATTCCCATCTCTAGGCCTTTGAACTTGGTCTTCCCTCTACTTGGAATGCTTTTCCCTCTTGTTGTCAAATGTCTCTTTCTCTTAAAAAGCCTTTCTTGACCACTCTAACACTTTCTCTTCACTTTCAGTCGTTCTTTACCATATCAAAACCACAAGTCTTTATTGCATCTATTAGGATCCAAAATTATTTATGTTATGCATTTTTCTTTCCTCATTATAGTGGAAGTTCCATGTTGATCAGGATCCTGACTGTTTTGTTTGTCATATTCTCGATACTTGAAAATAATAATAATGCTTGGCATGCAGTTAGAATGAAAGACGTGTGTTAGCTAACTAAAGACAGCATCATCAAAATCTTGGCAGAAGCAGTTGTGTTATATATGGGTGTGGGGGTTGTGGGTGTAATTGATCAGTTAATACAATTGCTAGCTCTTTTTTCGACTTTCAATTGGGCTGAGAGTCAGTTGTGCTGTTGATTTAAAAGGGAGAATCAGTTGTCCCCATGTGCTCCCAACAGTCTTGACACAGAGCTCATTACTTCCTTTTATTTTCCAAAAAAGGAAACATAGTTGTAGCAAACACAATAATTACTCTGAATTTTATTGACACTTCCATGGAAAATGTGGGAGTAGGTCCTCATTGCAGATCCCCCACCAAGCAAATTCATTAGATCCTATTAGACATACATGTTATTTCCAGAATCCTTAGTAGTGCCAACAAATATGACTGCTTCTCCCTTTACCTTTTCCTGTCTAGCTTTCTTCCTCCGAGAGCCATGATTTTCCACTGAGGTCTCTAAACCACCCAAGGTTCTATTATGTCAATGAGTATAAGGGCATCGGAACAGCTCCACATTTGCACTCCCACCAGCCAAAAACAAACCAAACCAGAACAACCAAAAACCTTCAGGTTAGAGGATTCACACATTAAATACTTTTATATCTAACATTATCCAATTGTGTATTGAACAGGATTGTATTTTAACTTGCTAAGTCCTCACTTGTAGTAAGAAGATCTTTATTCAAAGCCACTCCTGTGAACTAGCAAGTCAGCCTGAAATTCGAGAGAAAGGCCCCCAGAGTTAGCCTGTCGGTATTCTACCCACAAATCATTTCCTATTTGTATGAATTTGGACAAGTTATTTAATCACTCTGAGTCTCTGACTGTTCATCTGCTGAAAAAGATAAAAATGGTGATAATTTTCACTTTAAAAGATGGCTGTGGTTTTAGTGGTATAGTCTCTTGTAGAGTGCTTATCCCCATGGCTGCTACATGGTATACCTTAATCAATGTAAACTTTCATTACCAACTGTGTGCTTTCTGGTGAATTTCCTAACCCTCTGAGCTTCAGTATTCCTTAGTAAACTGGGCATAATAATACCTCAAGAATACAATGCACTATTATTTGCTATAGTCACCATGATGTACAATAGAGCTCTATAACTCATTCCTCCCGCCTAACTGGGACTTTTTACCCTTTTAACCAACATCTCCCCATTCCCTGTGCCCCCAGCCCTTGGTAACTACACTGTACTCTATATTTGAAAATTGCTAAGAGAGTAGATTTTAAATGTTCTCATCACAAAAAATAAATATATCTGGTCATGAATATGTTCATTAGCTTGATTTAATTATTTCACAATGTGTACATATGTCAAAATACCATGGCATACATGATAAGTATATAGAATTTTATGTGTCAACTAAGACAATAATAATAATGAAAATATAAAGGAGAGTTTTCATTAAAATCATTTAAAAAACGTTGTAATGATCACTCAAATAGATCAGGCATTGAAAGATGCTCCCTATTTGGGAGAGGAAGATTTTAATATATTGCAAAAATATTATTTGGGGGTAGATTAGAACAGGAATGAATCAGGCTTACCCAGGCTAGGAAGTTTCAGGGACACTTTACAAAATGTGCTGTAACTAAAATATTGTACTTTTACCACCAATATCTAATCATGCTGAAGACGTGGGTAAAAAAGCATGGAGAAGAAACTTTTCAGGATGCTGGCATCTATTCGGTTCTCCCTAGTCCCGTGGTGTTTTCAGCTATGTTGTAATTAGGAGCTCTTTGCTACTGAACAGGATGCTCCTGTGTGAGGCACTTAGGCTTGTCCTAGGCCTGGTTCTCATTATATCATTTTCTTCTCCAGCTCTTCTCTCCCTAGGCTGCTAGGCAGGAAATTGACCACAGGTAATTGGTGTATTCAAACAGAACATGTAGATTCCCACTGAAAAGGAGATTTTACAATTAGATTCTGCTTCAATTAGGAGGCTGTTTCCCTTTCTGTTCCTGAGGTCTTACCCCTCTTCAAAGCAAAGTTTGAGTTCTGTAAACAAAAGTACAAAATTTTTATCCTAAAACCAGCTTGTGTCAGTAGTGGGAGGGGACCTGGGGCTAGGTTAGGATGCACCGATCTTTTGAGCCAAGCCAACTTATTTAATTCATGGAAGGAGAGTGTGTTCCTTTCTTTTGCTTCTATCTTTGCTCAGATATCTTTTTGAAAGTTATCAGATTTCTGTAGCTGCTGTAATATCAAGAAATAGGAAGAAAGTGGGAAATAAGAGGTGGCAAGGACCCTGTCTCTAAGCTCATCCACACCCCCAGCTGAAATTATCCTGCTCACTGGGGCACAGGTGCTGATTTCCCTCCCTGATTTGGTCATTAAACACTTCTTACTGCTTCAATACATTTTCCCCCAAGGCCCCTGTCAAGGATGCTGCTTCTCCTATGATTACAACACAGCCAGTTGGGCCTCTGAACCTATTACTTCCCTTTTCCTAACGACCTTATAATGGCTGCTGGACTTATTCATGCCACCTGACAGATAACGATGTCAATTATTCAAACCTCAAATAGTGTCTTCTCGCCTGGAACAATTTCTTGCTTAGTTTTGTTTTGTAAAAAATAGAGCCAGCCAATAGCAAGATAAATGCTTCTCTAATTTATATTTTCTAAGTGTGTCATACAGGTTTGGGTTCATGATCCAACACATTCATGAATTGCCATGGGGCTAATAATACTAGTTTCTTCACAGATTGTGTGTTGACAGAATTAAATAAAGTGAGTTTATTCATATAAAATTCTTAGGAAATTATCTTAAGATGGAGGATTTTAATTTTGTTAGTGATTGTCATCCTTGTTCATTACAAATACAGCTTCCTTCCTCTTGTATGCAGGTGAGTTTTACTAAGTAGAGGCAAGGTTACTGAGGGAGGAGACCAAAAAGGTAATAAAAGATGAGTTGCATATTAGGCTGTTCTTGCATTGCTATAAAGAAATGCCTGAGACTGGATAATTTATAAGGAAAACATGTTTAATTGGCTCACGATTCTGCAGGCCTGGTAGGAATCATGGCACTGGCATCTGCTTGGCTTCTGGGGAGGCTTCAGGAAACTTATAATCATGGCAGAAGGTGATGGAGGAGCAAGCATATCACATAGCCAGAGCAGGAGCAAGGAGGCAAGGAGGAGAGGAGGCACCATACACTTTTAAATGACCATATCTCACCATAACTCACTCCCTATTGCAAAGACAACACCAAGCCATGAAGGATGTACTCACATGACCCAAACACCTCCCACCAGGCCCCACCTCCAGCATTGGGAGTTACAATCCAACATAAGATTTGGGTGGGGACAAATATCCAAACTATATCATTCTATCTCCGGCCCCTCCCAAATCTCATATCCTTCTCATACTGCAAAATACAAGTATGCCTTCCCAACAGTCCCCCAAAGTCTTAACTCATTCCAGCATTAACCAAAAAGTCCAAAGTCTCATCTGAGACAAGGCAAATGCCTTCCACTGATGAGCCTGTAAAATCAAAAACAAGTTAGCTACTTTCAAGATACAATGGGGGTATAGGCATTGGGTAAACACTTCCACTTCCTGCATTACTTCAGTCACAACACTCTCGACACTCTTGCTTGAACTGCCCTGGCTGCAGGCCTCTCAGCCTCAGGAGCACTTTAGGAAGAGGCTCACATTCTCCAGGAACCAGAATAGCTGTCGCCCACAGCCCCTGGGCTCTGTCACTGATTCAGGTGGTTCCTCACCTTCCATCACCAATCTGCACTTTCTGGCTTTTGTGGGTGGACAGTGAAGAAGACAAATGCAAATAGAATATTATTTATGTTATCTTTGAAGTGATAAATTTCTCATTGTTATTAATTGCAAACTGCCGGGGTAAAGAGCATAGGGTCCATGCACACCATGCCTCTAAATTGCCTAATATTGGGTGAGAGTTACTTTTTTTTAATGTTCTAATCTAGTCATGATGAATTCTAACTCCTTCATATTGAACTGCCTTTCATTGTGTTTTTAGTTTTGCTCTGCTGGGCAGGAGTTTCTCTGTTGCAGAGCTTTGACCAGGACGTGGTGGTTTCCTTCAACCCCTAATTCTTGGCAATTAGTTAATATTCCTTTGTGGTATTCCATCGATTCTCATACATGCAGTGCTTGAATTCTACTATTAGAAATGATGAACTGAAGGTTTTGTTTTTTTTTTCTGTCACTGCAGCCTTCAGCCTTCTTTTCCTCTGCCCACATCTTAGACACTAAAAATACTCCTTAATATATCCTTGTACCACTGGTTGGAATCAAATGCCTCCAAACATAAATGTTATTAATTTTTCAATATTTTCTCCTAATTTAATTAGAAACTTTTTCATTTCAAGTAATAGACACCTAGCACAAACTGAACGATAAAGAAGGGAGGGATGGGGGAATGGAAAGACGGAGTTATTGGTTTGCATTGGGTGGAAAGTACAGGAATTCATCTGGCTTTTGTCAGGAGGAGAATCAGGGAATCAGAGGTTAGCATGATGTCATGAGTCACTGTGTCTCTCTCTATTTCAGATTTACTTTTCTCTGTGAAATGACTTCATATTGCTGAGTCATTACTCAGGTGATCAGGAAATGTGGTTTTTGGCAGATACTTGGGGTCCTGCTGCTTGATATTCTAGAGGAGTAGAACCCTTTCCTCTTCCAGAGGACATCTCAGGTAAGGTTTTGATTAGTTTTGCTGATTTCACCACTATCTTGAACCAATCACGGTGTTGGAGAAATTAGTACTGTAATTGGCTATTGTATAACAAGTAAGGATGGTGAAGAGAGTCCTTTGTGTGACAGTTTCATTAAATCACAGTTCTGAGTAGGAAGGTTTCCCAGAGGAGAAGAAAAGGTTTATACTGAAGAAGATAAAGGGATTTAAAGGCCTCAAAAATGGGTGTTCATGACAATGACCCAGCTCTCATCAAGATAAGGCATGATAGTTATTGCACACAAAGAAAGAACATAAATAACTATGCCCTTCATGTGTAAGAGGTCATGTAGACCTTAAAGAATGCCCACACCCACATGACAGTGGGCTGGTGTAATCACTTCCATTCCAAACACATAGCTATGTGATATTGTGCTTTTCAATAAAGATAACTCATCCATTCAGTGATGGTCAACATTCCCCTGTCTCCAAAAAAAACAGGCTTCTGTGACCTTGGATTTAGTAAATACCTTGAATGCCCTTGCTATATTCTGTCCTCCTTTACTGCATTGTCTTGAGTCTCAATTGGTTTGACTTCATCTCATACTTTCTTTTACCCTAGGGTTTAAAAGTTCATTTTAAACTTGAATTGACTCTGTGTTGAGCCATAAACACACACCGGTTTACCTCCTGCTTCTGATTTCTCCACCTCAACTCCTCCCTCAGCACTTAGAAGGTTGAATGAGAAAAGAGAATGAATGCAGGCTTCGAAGGCAGGCAGGCCTGGGTGTGAACTGTGTGTTCACTTAACAACTACAGTGATGTCAGCCAATATCAATAACTCACATACGTAGTGGCTTGCTACTATGTATGTAGCATGCACTGCACAAAACACTTTTAAAACATATTTTCATTTTAAACATACTCTCCTTTACTTTATAGTCTATCTCTGACTCCTCTTCTTTTTCTTCCTCTTTTGCATCCTCCTTTGCTTCTCCTTCTTCTATCCACTTTCTACTCACTTACTGCCATTTTCACCACGGAGCTTTGCAGAGTGGGAGGTAAGCGCTGCTTAGTATTTAAGTCACTCAACTAACCTCTGCTCCATATAGCGTACTGGCATGGCCCAATATCTCAGCCCTATGCCTGCAACTGCCTCTTCTGTGCTTCCCAGTAGGTGTTTCCTTTGGGTGCCATTTTGCTCATCCAAAGAGAACTCTGGGAGAATCCCAATCACTGTAGTTGCATTTATCCTGACTATGCACTGCTGTCAGTGTCCTGTGCCCCATTAACATGTTTGTCCTAACTACCTTCTCCTTTACCCTCAAAACTCAAATTGACCCTGTCTGATTGTGCTCAACTTCATCATTAAGGAGGGCATGCTAATACCAAGTATCCACCATATGTCATACATTCCACTGGGTTCCTAATGTAACTCTTTCCTTTACATTCACAGCAACCCTCTGAAAGAGTTTTTATTTTCTTAACCTTATGAACAAAAGAATTAAGACTTAAGGAGGTAAGTGACTTGCCAAAGACAACATGAGTAGAAAGACTGCCTGGGATTCCTACTATGACCTATTTAACTCAAAGGTCCACACTTTCTCCATTCTGCCAAACTCTATCACTAACACAATGACTAGACTTCATATAGATTCACTAACCACACCCTAGACAACCATGCCTCTGCACTCTCCATGGCAGCGACTGACTTCCCTGTTAACTCCTTTCTTTTTTTATTCACCTACCTTGAGTCCAAGAAGTTAGAGAGGTCATTGTAAAGAAATGTTAGATTCTAACTCCTGCTGGAAGCAAGAGAGTGGAAGTCGGCGGGACACTGAAAGGTCACTACAGTTTGTGGCAGCTGCTGGTTTTGAAGCACTGGTTTACACTCCACTTTCCTTTCCTGTCAACTCATCCCTGGTTCTTAAAGAGGTCAAGGTCCTACTGGGTAGATAATGGGTACAGTTGCTTTCTGTTATGATGATTATGAAGAAAAGACTTGCCATCTCATGCTCACCACTAAAGCTTTGCCTTTGTTTCATTCAGATATTCTGTATGAAATCTGGGGCCAATTTTAAGGACAGAGAGAAACCATGCAAAAGAAAGCAGGGGCTGCTGCTGGCTTAGAGATGGAGGAAAGGGGCCATGAGCCTGAAATGCAAGGAGCCTCCAGAAATGAAAAAGTCAAGGAAATGATTTTCCCTAGAGACTTCAGAAGGGGTATAGCCCTTTAGATACCTTCATTTTAGTCCAGTAAAACCCAGTTTGGGTTTCTGAACTCCGGAACTGGACAGCAAAAAAAATCTGTGGGTTTTTTGTAACTTGTTTATGGTAATTTGTTACAAAAGCAATAGAAAACTAGTATACTTATCTCAAGTCTTTTTTCTTCCCGTAAAGATTTTCATTGTGTGCAGTCTTAATACTTCTCATCATCCTACAGAGACAAAGCATGGGCCAGCACTGACCATATTACAATCCCGAGGGGATAGATCCCTACAGTATAAGGGTAATACACTTTAAATTATTTTGTTCTTCACTTTTTCTTTTGCGCAATACAGTATTCAAGGCTTGCCCATCTGCCAAGCAACCTTTGGTTCTTTTCTGTAAGAAAAACTTATTCTGCTTATTTGAGACAAACTCATTGTCTCACCCTTAGGCTAAATGGTATAGTCTCAGAAAATGCCATTAATATTCCACCTTCCCACTTCAGAAGTGAAGTATCATTCACTTTCCCGCTCTCAGTAGAAATATATTTCATTATTTGTTTTATCTTTTTTCTCAGGCTCATCCTTTTTAGTGTCTTTATCGGCTTGTCTTCCTTTGTCCATCCCTTAAGTATCAGTGTGTTTGATGGCTGGGGAAGTCCCCGCTTTTCACACAACCCTGCTTCTTACACAGTAAAGGCAACTCAATTTTTTAGCATTTGGGTTCAGAAACCTCTGAAAAATTCTTGATTTTTTAAAATTTTCTTTTTTACAGTCCCACATCTAATCACTGAGAAAATCCTTTTGGCGTGGCTTTGCCTTCTTATCTGCCCAAAACTGACTTGCTTCTTACAACCTCCTCGGCTGCCACTGTGGTCGAAGCCAGTGTTTCTCTCGTACCTTAATTACTACATTTACTTCCTGGTTTCTCTCCCTGCAGCCACCCTTGCCCTGAGTGCTACTAAGAACTCACCAGGCAAAGCAGTCATTTTGAAATGTGAGTCCTATTAGGACATTCCTCTGTTCAGCCTCTCCCACGCCCACGTGTCACTCACAGTGAAGTTTGTTTTCAGTGTAACCTAGTCACTAACCTGACTTCATCCTCTACGACTTTGTTGCTTGCTTACTCTGCTGTGGCCACACAGCCTTCTTGTTCCTCCTAGAACACATCAAATAAGCTTCTATTTCAGTGCATTCACATTTGCTATTTCTTCATCTTCTTGGAATGTTCTCATGGATATCCATATGGCTCACTTCCTCACTTCCTCCAACTTTTTCTTCAAGTGTCCTCAGTTAGGCCTGTGCTGATAACCATATTTCAAATTTCAGCTTCTGCCACAGCATTTACTTTACCCTAAATCGTCTATGTGATTTACTCTTTTATCATGTCTAATGTCAAAATGTCCCCCCTCACCCATGTAAACTCTAGGAGATCAAGGGCTTTTGTCTTCTTCCATTTCCCAGCTCTTCCCTCAATGCCTAGAACAATGCCTGACATAAAGTAAATGCTAAAAAATTACATTTTTTCTCATTTTATACATTTTTCTTGGGCAACTTCATTCAGTTTCATAAACTCATATGCCAGGGTTTCCCTGATCTCCCTCAGAGAGGCTCTGTATGAAGGACTGTCACGTTGTCCATTCAGCTCCCCAATCCAGAAATTAGGAGCTGCCACATATTTGATTCAGGCATTAAATGGTCAGGCATTAAATGCATTCGCCTTATAAGCCAGGAACAGTGCCACACACCAAGGACATCTTTGCAATGAAACAGAAATGATTCTTCCTCTCATGAGCTAATACTCCAGTTGGGAACAGCTAATCACAAAACAGATAAGCACTCAGTGAAAAGAGACAATATTTACTTTATAATCTTCCAGGTTTCTATGGTAGGAAAGGAACTTCTATTGTCACAATGTTAAAAGATAGGAGTAATGACAATAATGCTGGCAACATTAGCGAATGCCCATATTGTGCTTCCTAAGTGTCAGGCCTTACACCTAGTACATAGACTGGCTCACCAAATGCTGAGACCAACCCTATGAGATGGATAGTCTTATTATCCCCTTTTACTGAGGCACAGCTGAAGAATAAAGAGGTCTCATGGCTTGTTCAAAGATACAGGACAAGAAAGTGTCTGAGTTGGATTTGAATCCAGACAGCCTGATAGCAGTGTCTTAATTGCAACGATGACATTTTCATTGTCTTCCTCCAATCAGTAGAACGGAAAGTAGAATCAAGCATTTGGAGCCAAGGACATTCTGGGTTTGCTTTTTCTTCTTAGCAGTCTCAGTACCAGCCCCCAAATGCGCTCCACACTTTGCTTCCAGTTTCAGGCAACATGCATTCTTCTCTCTTCTTCCTTCAATCTAAGGAAAGTCACGGCTTTCTGTAGTCATTGATTTTCATCTTTGCTCTATCAGTTTTCCAACACTTGTGTAATCATTGTTGTGTGCTTGATCCTGTCTATGTGAAATACTCACTGGGTTTTATTTCTTGACTGGACTTTGAGTGATCCAGCTTTATATGTGGCTCTGATTTTCAGAATAACTCTATCCACCATAGATGATTACCTCATTTTATACCTTAAAAATTTAAAGTTTTGGGTGAGTTAAGCCACCTGTTTTTCAAGGTCAAGGATAGGTTTCATCTCCAGGACTTACTACTTTCAAAATCTGTGCTCACTTCACAGGAACATTGGTTGGCATTTTCAAATTAGACGTTCAAGGACTTATTCATTCAAAGCCAGATGTCTCACTTAAATTGTCCCCTTCAAAGTTCTATTCTTGTCCTCAAAATGTTTCAACATTCCACATCATATTCTTTTAAATTTCATCAGTTGTAGCTCTTCAGTCTTTCAATCTTTGAAGAAATATGTGTGTTTAAGAAAAACCTTATAACCTAGATCTTCAGAATAAAATGATCTTATTATACTTGAAAACATCATTGGAATTAAACACATCATATAACTACAAAATGACAAAACTATGCTCTCTATGAGATGCATGAATTGACTCTGAATTAATTTACTGAGATCCAGTTAAGTAGCTAAATCTGGATTGAGAAGACAGTTCCTAAGGAGAGAATAGTCCATGTAGTTTGAGTGGATAGTTTCTGTCAGAAAGTAATGTGAAAGATGCAAAATTAACATTAATCCATGTTTGCTAAATACTCTCATTGCTCTGTCTATGTAACAGACGTGAGCCCAGAAGGTAAATGAGCATGACAGGTCTATGAACCCATTTTGAGTTCCAGCCATAAGTTTCCAGGATATCACTGGCAGAAAATGCTGGAAACAAAAACACACAATAAAGTTGTATAGCAAAGAATCATTTTCACCTGATTCTGATGGTCCTTAGGAGGTGTGATTTACTTCCATGATCTCACTTTATTAAAATGTCTTTTTTCACCCACTTTTCAGAAATTGTGAACTATAATTTATCTTTTTTACAGATGCAAATTAAAAGGCAAACAGAAAGAGTGTTTGGCTTGGATTAGTAAGAAAAGAAAAAACAAGATGCAGCTTCCACAGTCACAACACCCTAGAAATATTTGGGTACCAATGTAGCTTTAAAAAAAAAACGAAAAAGAAAAAAAACAACTTCAGAAGCACAGTGTCTCCTTCACTGCTGTGGAGACTCTTAGCGTCTTTCTCTTTATTCAACACAATCAAGATGCAGCTTAGGGTGAGGAGAGCAGCAAACCAGCAGATAAATAAGGGCCTGGAAAGACAGGCAGGAGAAAGCCATCCTTTCTACACAGCATCTTATTACAGCAAAGTGAAGGGATATGATGAAAATAGAAAGAAATAGCAGTGAGAAGTAGAAAAATAGATAAAAGAGAGAAAAATTCTCAGTGTTTTGGAGATGTTTCTCAACCAGGAGAATCACACCTAAAACTTCCCCATATCCAGAAGGATAGGGCTGTGAAAGGTGGATATTGATGAGGAGAAGGCGATATGCTGGGGATGGGTGGTTCATTTTCTGATTGTAGAGAGTGCAGTCAGAGTGTTTTGGGGGAAGATGCTGACGGAAACTTAGAGCATTTAGAGTGTATTGCAGAAGATGTATGAGGGAGACAGGTTCTAGAGTCCACACCGAAAAAGACAATATGAACACGAGTCCAGAAAATAGGGAGCAGATTGTACCTACTAAGTGTCACATTGTTTATCTTGCCACTGACCATTTTGTACCAGGTCAGGCTGAGGGTTACTTATGTTGTCTCCTGGGAGTTTCTCCCCTGCCTTCATTGTAGGGGAAGCTGCACCAGTAGGTCAATGGGCTGCACTCATTAAGATTGGCTGATTCCTGAGCCATACTGATTTTTATTATTCTGAATCTCTCTCCTATTTAGTACATTTTCTGGGACAGTCTAATGATGCACCAAAGAGAAGCTACAAAGCCATTGAATGATTCCTATTATGTGCACCTAGCCTGCATAAAGCTCCTTTTCTCGAGAAGTCGGAGTGAGTGGAGTCATATAACTTAACTTTGATCTATCTCAAAGGCATCGCCAGCTCCCTGACAGCCAGGCTCAGCAGAGCACGCAGGCATGGCCAGGCATCTAGTGGTTCTGACAGTCACAGAAGCTCTGTTGTGCTAATGGGCTTCTCTTAATGCTGAGAGATCAGCTCTGCAATTTGCTCAACAGCCCTGGGCCAGCTTTGCAGAGGCCTTATTGCTCCCATTCAGGCCATGTGGTCTGTGAGTTGGAGCAAGAGTATATTGTGAGTACTTCTGTGTGAATAACCCTGCTGGAGCTCCCTGCACTCCAGTTATTGACTGAGGCAAGTCCCCCAGCCTGGATAATTGCCTATAGGAAGCATCAACTCTGATCACTGGAACTGGCCAAGAGGCAAATGTGACCTCCGAGAGTGACCATGTTGGCCTGGGTGCCTATCTGAAAAAAATTCAATGATGTCTTCATTTGCACCGCACCGTTTTCCTGTCTCAGCGTGTGGAACTGCTTTCATGGCTCCTGTTTTCTCATCTATGACCCCATCAATAAGCATCACTCTGAGAGCAGTACTAATTTTCTCACATACATTCTCTGAAGAACGTTCTTTATTCTCACCTCCGCATTTCCTGGAAGAATGTGTTGTCATGACAGCAGGGAGGCAAGAGTGTAGGCTTTGGAGTCAGATAGAAATGGGTGTGGAGCCCAGTTCTACCATTTGAAAGTTTTGTGATGTAGAGAGAGTCACTTAATCTAACTGTGCCTCAGTTTTCCCATCTGTATAATGGGGTCAATATAGTCCTCCTAAATAATGGGGTGTCGTTAGGATTAGCTGAGTGAATGCAACAATGCCTAGCACAAACAAGCCCTCTGCAAATATGAGGTAGGACCTCCTCCAGAGCTGGCCTTTACATGCAGGCTTGGGTTTGCTGAAGGTCTTGTTTTAAAATGCAGTTTTTTTGTTTTTGTTATTTAAATTTCCAGGTATGCTGATGTCAATAGATTAGATGATGTCATTGTAAAGATAGTTTATTATATTCACAGTTCCCAAGAGAAGATGGCACACTACACCACACAGGGTCACATAGGGTCACGCAAGGTGTGGGTCAGAAGGCAGAAGGGCAAGAAAAATGGGGAAGAGCCTTGATTGGTGTTTCTGTGGGAAGGAAAAAGTGAGGCAGATATATAGATTTAGGATTGGCTAGTTTGAATAACTTCCACAGCCTCTGGGGTATAGGGCCTGTCTCTAGTTATCTGGTACCTGGTTCTTGGTGATTACAGTAGAGGAATAGTGGCCCAGAGTGTAAGAGCCTGTAGAGGAGGTGGTTGGGGTTTGGGTTCGGGGTGGGTTCATTTGCATATGAAAGAGGTGCTCTCAAGTGAGTCATTTATGTCACCAAGAATTAACTAGGTCTGAAAAGAGCAGTGTCTCCAGGGACAGCAAGACCCCAGATGCCAGAGCATAAAAAATACAGAAAATAAAAATGCATGATTAATACAGGTCTTTTCTTAGTGTATCCAGACAGAAAAGGGAAAACCAAGGAAACCGTTATTGAGCACCTACCCGACAGCACCTAAGAACGTTAACACATGTACTTCACCTCTGGCAGCCTGAAGTTCTGCATTCCTCAGTTTGGGATAGCACCTTGAGCTCCAGGCTTTCCACCTCTCATATCTGTGAAGCGTTATCCCAAGTCCATGCTTTGATTCTCATTATAATGATAATAGAGCTAGTATTTCACAATTAAGTCGTGAGTAGACTACTCCTTTCAAATGTCTCTTCATGACAGGAAACTATTCTTCTGTTTCTGGTCTCCTACCTTGTCTTCTTAAATTTATTTTTGCCCCTCTCCTATCTGTTTTTGCACTACATCGAGAATGAACTTTTAAAAATGCAAACTTAATCATGTATTTCCCTACTTAAAATAATTTTCCATTGCTCTAAGAAAAAGGTCACCATCCTTAGCCTGGTCTACAAAGAAGGCAGGACCGTCCCCTGCTTTCTTCACCACCACCAGCTGATGTCACTCTTCTTGTCATTTTCTGCCCTGTAACCATATTGGTTTCCTTTTTCTTTCCAAGCATCGTGTTCCTTTCCACCTAAGGAATGTTGCATGTATTTCCATCACTTGGAGATATATTTTCAGCAGCCAGCCCTGAATATTCACTTGAAAAATTTTCATACATCTTTCAAAACTCAGAAATTTCTTGAAGAAAACATTTGTGATCGCCCCAGTACAGGTCAGGACCCTAAAATCTATTGTGATGCACCCAATATTTCTGTTTTATTATAGTTAAAATTAAAAAGTTAAATTCAAACACTAAATTGAGAGTTTTAAAAATATCATTCTGTTGACTTCTAACATATATAAAATTAGGGTCTATACCTCTCTTGTTTAATTCACAATCTCTAGTACATAATTGCTGACATAATTTGGAAAATATCTTGGACATTAATCCCAAATTCTATTTAAAATTTGTATAGACGCTATTGTTAACATTAATTTCCTCTTCTTTTCTTATCCCATAACAATGTTTTTGTACACATCCTGGGGACCTGAAGATTATTTATTTGTATAATAGTATATTAAAAATTTGTACTACTTCGGATTGTAAGAGTTTAACAAAATCATGCATGTGAAAACATGATGTAAATGATAATGTGTTATACAAATGTAATGGGTATTATTACAAAAAGTAAATGATCCTGTTTGAAATTTAGTCTTAATTCAAGTCATCAACTCTATGATTTTCATAAATTGTTAATTTCAGTGCGATTTATTTCAACATAATTGACAGCTGATACATGAGCACTGGACTATGAGCTTTGAACTTATATTTTAAACATCTTCTTATAGAGAAAGGATATGACATTCACATTCTTCTCTCACCTTCTAAATGAAATGAATTGACTAGAAGAATGTCCGATCAACAGTAGTCCACATATGCAGCATTCTTCATATATAGATCTGGTACTAAGTGCCAGTAAAAGCTAGTATATGAGGTTGGTTCAAAATTAATTGTGGTTTTTGCCATTGTAGAACACCACACACAGAAGAACAATCTGAATAAAAATATTAATAAGAAGACTAAGGTCTAACTATTCAAAAGACCACATGCATTAGCCAATACAGAGCAGTGAGAAAAGAATGTATTAGTCACCTTAGGCTATGTTATACTTCAGTAACAAATGAATCATAATCTTTATAGCATTCCACAACAAAGTTCATTTCTCATTCTTGTTCATGGGCATTGTGAGTTGTCTGAGTATACTCCATGTATGCTGCATTCTGGAACCTATGATGAGAGATAGCTCCTACTTAGGTTTTGCATCTTTGTGGCAGAAGGGAAAAGAGAAATGATGGAACCACATGAGAAATATCTGTTTTGTCTCGGCCAGTTTTACATGAGTGAATGTGACATGTGCCACTTTTAGGCAGAGATTTAAAGAACCATGATTTGGGATGGATACAGCCTTCCTGCAGAAACCACAAATAGTTTGAATGAAATCAATCACAAACAGCAAGTCAGAAAGTAGATTTCAGTTGACACATGATTGAATTTGGAAAAGGTAGGCTGGAGAGAATATAGGAAATTCTTTTGGACATTTTGAGAATTTTTGTTGGTTTTTGTTTTGTTTTGTTTTTGTAACTAACTAAGCATAAAGCCAAGTGGTGCATAATGAAATAAACAAGTCTTAAATGCCAAAAATTTGATGGAAGCCTCTTAGAGAACACATTTGCCATCACAGGACATTTGTCTTCAGGCCGGTGATGTACCTTCCACTGGCACTGGTCTTTGCTTTACCTCTTTTCAGTCATCTCTCAAACTCACTCTAGGACTCCTTCCCGCCTACTGTAGAATCCTTTTGTGATGTCTCCAGTCTGGGGTATAGCCCCTGGTTCATTGCTCCTGTAGCAGCTGTGTGGTCCTTCTCCAAAGCAAATGTGTCAGACAACTACTGAATATATACATATATTTTTTTTCTTTCTGTCATTAGCTTGTGTATTCTCAACAGGAGTGATGTCATCTAGGGGTGAAAATTAGTTCTTTGGGCAAAAAAATTTTTAAATGTTAGATATTACAATGATCTGGGACCCTCTAAAGGGCCCTTTCAAGGGCCCTGGTACATAAACATGGTAGGGTGACCAGAGAAAAAAATTACAAATATATATATATATGCCTCTTAGGAAAGCATTACTATTTAAAAATGAGATGTTGAGAAACTGCACAAAACTTGATCTGACAAGCTTACTTTCACAGCGCCTGGCATATACGAAGGATATCATAAGTTTAAATAAGTGAATGAATAAATGAATGAAGCCCATATTGTAGATCATTAGATAAAGCAAGATGGACTGAACAAAATTTAAAGGGAACTTGATCCTGGAAATGATTCAAATGATCACACTAACTCAGGGAGGATTGGTTCCATAGAGCACATTAGACCAAGCCAGTAGGTGATGAGGCCATGTCTTCAGGTGTGTAAAGTTAATAATAACAGAAGCAAAGAACCAGTCAGGGGCTAATACAGTTTTGGGTCCTGTTTCTCATTTTAATTTTTAATTACTTGAGAAGGAAAGACAGAGCTGAATTGCCATTCATCCCTATAACCCCTTTCCATCTTGATCTTTCTGCATCAACAGTTGTCCTGCCAACTCCCTTAGAAATGGTGACAGAGTGACAGAGGGAGGTAGAACTTTAAGAGTTGGTGATAAACTTTTATACATGTAAAATCAATTTTTGTTGGCATAATCTAAAAGAATGGCTCATCTTTTTGTAATTAAAAACAGTCATGAGGTTTGAAGCGATGAGTGTTTACACCTGGAGAAGGGTTTTAAACTTTAATGAAGGTCTTTTTTTCTAAATGGCTGAAAGATTTCCTAATTATAATGTCACTACAGGAAAAAATACCTTTGCAAAAAGTGACTGTTTAGTGCAATGAAAACATTGCTGGGGAAGGATGCGAGAAATTGTATTTTCTTCCAATGTGTCCACCGTGGCCCCACTGTGGGACTGAGCAAGTCTCTTCACTTTCCTGATTCAAGTCTCACATGATGAGGCCTTTAGGAGTATAAAGCAATAACAAACATTTAGCAAATACTGAGCCCCCTCTCTGAGCCATACATAGTGCTAAACTGTGGATGTGGAGGCTTCTTGTCAAGTATGAAGTTATGTCACTAATAGAGGTCTCAGGTTGATAGAAAACATAATTTGTCCACTTTTTCTGCGTCACAGATTCTATTATTTTCTCTCAAACAGTCCCCGTATTTTGCAATCTTTTACTAAACAAAATATATTTATAAATTAAATTTTGTTCCCATTTTTACTTTAGTATTTTACTTATAAAAATACTAACATAAGGGGAACTGTGAACATTTTAAAAATCCAGAGAAATATATCTACTAGTGACAAACAACACACTAATAAAAAATCATAAGGTTGTCCACATTAATCAAAAGAAACAATACTATTACTAGTATCCAAACTAATAAAAAAACACAACTTTCGGATCTGGATTTTTCCTTACAATTTATTCTATATTCATATGCGTATTCTGTATACATTTTTTAATATCTATGCTAATTTAAGAAAAAACTATTTATGTTTTGATTTTCCTTCCATTTTATTTTATAGCATATTTGACATAGTTATAATGCACATGCAATTTTATCTACATTTCAATTTTAAACATTGTAATAGAATGATTTTCTATATTCCTACATGCTGTTCCTAATTAACATTTGCAATTTCTGCACAACCTTGCAGGATATGCTTGTGGCAGAATTTATTTTGCCAGTTCCTTCTTGGTCATGTATTTTGCTCTTTCATTCTATTTGTGGTTGTTTTGTCTGAAATGGAGTCTCGCTGTGTCACTCAGCCTGGATTGCAGGGCTCACTGCAACCTACACCTCTCAAGTTGAAGCGATTCTCCTCCCTCAGCTTCCTGAGTAACTGGGATTACAGGCACCCGCCACCACACATGGGTAATTTTTGTATTTTTAGTAGAGACAGGGTTTCACCACGTTGGCCAGGCTGGTCTCCAACTCCTGACCTCAAGTGATCCACCTGCCTTGGCCTCCCAAAGTGCTGGGATAACAGGCGTGAGCCATCATGCCCAGCCCTGCTCTTTCATTCTTGATATCAAGTATGGTGCTCAAGTGGAGTGAGCATCCCTATGTATGAGTGTGAATAAGTGAATGAATAAATAAACGAAGCCCATGTTGTAGATTGTTAAATAAAGCAAGACAGACTGAACAAAATTTAAAGGGAACTTGATCATGGACATGACCCAAATATATATAGCCTTGTCTTTGATATTATTTTCTTTACACGGAGTTTTAGAAATAGGATTACTGGAACAAATATTGGTATGAATTTTAAAATGTAAAATAGTTTTCAAAAATTTGGACAATAATAGTAGCTGTCTCACCTTATATTTATTGTGACTGAGTTCTACGTTTACTTAAAATAAATACATAATAGAAAGTTAATAATGTTTTAATTTCCTATTTTTTTCAGACACATTTGCTATTTACAGATCTCTGGGCCAGCAGAAGATGACTGAGTTTATACACCAAATCTTGATAATTCTTGCCAAGACAAACTACTTGGCATTTTGTTTAGGGATTTTTTTTCAAGGTTAAATCTATTATTCTATTTGGCTTTTTAAACAATTGAAAATAAGTCCAAGATTCCTCTTAATAATTTCATGACCACCCCATAGGCTCTTACTTGAGAGCCACAGAAATACATTTTCCCACATGATGTAAACCTCTATACACACAATACGCTTAAACTAGAAGGAACATCATATACCCCTGTGTTTCATGACATATCGTTTGAAGGTTAAAACACTGAGGCTTAAAATGATGGAATTCCCACTCACGTAGGAATTTCCTACATGGTCAAGCTTTACACTGGTCAACGGCAGTCACTCCATTTCCAGGCTTGTTTTGAATACGTCTGGGTATTTTATGGATAGTTGGGCCTAATAATATAGGATGCACTTATATCTACACTTATGTGTTAAACCCACAAGCTTACTGTTACTGCCATCACCCACCACCCTTCGACTCATACGGAGGTGGAGCGAGGTGTCTTACCAAATGGCTTATGTCCCACGTCTGCCAGCAGTGGTTGACACACACCATTTGAGCATCATGGATGGGAAGGTCCCCTCAGATTCCTGTGGGTCTCTGAGATGCTGAGCTTCCCCCATCCCTGCTTTCCTTAAGACAGCTCTTCTGATGGTGTTTGCACCAGCTTTGCCAGCAACAGCTCAGCTGCAGATAGAGTCTAATGCCTTGGGTTGTCCCAGCCAGAAGGGAGACAAAGCACTCTTTCTTCTTATGAAGCCAGCCTTGTTTCTGCCAGCCAGAAACAAGATGTGTCCAGCTGGTCCACTCTCCACCAAGATCTGATCAAGCAATCATTCACATATCCCAACTTTGTTGTCATACATAAAGTTTAATTTTATAAATTTAGGTCTAGATGATTTTTGCGATGACCCTAAGTGTCACATGTTCACCAACTATTTTGTTATCATATATAAAGTTTAGTTTTATAAATTTAGGTCTAGATGATTTTTGCGGTAACCCTAAGTGTGTCTTTTTATAAGGAATTTCGATTCCAGGATAAGAGGGATTTTTCTCAGGTTTTCCTGAGTACTTCAATGTTCCACAGATCCGTACCCTCTGTTCACATGTATTCCAGCTGTTCCTTCTCTACATGTAGCTAAAATGTGTGTAAGACAATGGATTTCAGAACAAAGAAGCAATAACACTTTCTCCAAAACCTGTCCATATGTCTTGTAAATGAAAATATTATTGTGAAATAAAATCCTATAATCTTCACTAAAATAGGTAACTTATCTTTTCTCATATTTCCGTGGGCCAGCAGAAAAAAACTCTAGAGAATTTCTGTTGGTTAGGGTTGTGCCCACTGGCACATAGCTTACTAATCTGTGCTTTGAAAGGCTGTTCCTGAGTGTAAACCTAAACTTCCCCACTATATAAACGTGTGGAAGTTAATTAGTCTCTGTCCTCTGCCTCCACATCTCTAAATTGGGACGGTTTATTCCTCAGAGAGTGTGAGAATTAAATAAGTTAATGAAAAGAAAGTGCTTAGCATGGGGGCTGCCTTAAAGCATATTGGCCCACACTATGGATGATTTATCCCAAGTCATGCATACTACTAGGTTTTGAATATATAAAAGTTAGTTTGGCCCTAGCACTTTTTTTTTGTTTTATTCTTCTTCAAGAGTCTCAGGCAATTTATCTGTTCAATGGAAATTTAAAACTTCAAATCCAATTACCTCAAAGATTTGCTGTGAAGATACAGCGAGATAATGCATTTCAAAGTTTTTCACAAGCTATAAAGTTTCAGCCAAAAATAGTTAATGGAGGAAATAGATCATGGCAAAGAAGGAGGATGAGAACACAAAGGAAGAAGAGAAAGAAAAGGGTCAGAGCTTGGGAGTTTTTTTAATCCTTTCTTTCCATGGTTAACATCTAAACTTTCTTATCTATTTCACCCTGTTGCCATAGTGAGTTCTGGGTGATTTCCTCACGCTCGTCTTCTAATGCAGTGTTTCACATCTGCTCTTTAACCCATCTGTTGATTACGATTACCGTTGTTAAGATCGTTGTTATCTCAATGATGACAACTTTCCAATTCCAGCATTTTTATTTGAAGCGTTTTTGAAATATTTCTGTTCTTTTTTAAAAAATAATATCCTCTACTTATCCTGTGGACTCATTTTTTTTATTTCTTCGAATATTTTAAAAACAATTATTTTGCCATCTAGATCTGACAATATCACCTGAATTTTATGGGGTACAATTTCGTTCCTTTCTGAATCTGCTGATTTACTGTCTTAGAGTTTGGGGTTCAATGAAAGGAAAGAGGCATGTGATCTGGGAAGTCGGAAGGACTTTGGGTTGGGAAAGAGGGATGTGTGTATGTTTGTGTGTGTTTCTGTTTACATGTTTAATAAGAAGTTCTGAAAGACAATGATTGCTATTAGCTACTCTTTCATGAGTTTTTAATTTACTCTAAGGCAGGCCCCATGCTAAGCACTTTACCTGCAATAACTTATTTAATTCTCATACTCACTGAGGAATAAACCATCCCAATTTAGAGATGTGGAGGCAGAGGATAGAGAGGCTAATTAACTTCCACACATTTATATAGTGGGGAAGTTTAGGTTTACACTGAAGAACAGCCTTCCAAAGCACAGATTAGTAAGCTATGTGCCAGTGGGCACAACCCTAACCAACAGAAATTCTCTAGAGTTTTCTCTGCTGGCCCACGGAAATATGAGAAAAGATAAGTTACCTTAGTGAAGATTAAGTATGATGAAAATAAAACTACAGAGAGCTATGCAAATATTCGGATGAATCTGATGCTAATGAGACCTTGCATAAGTGATTGTTGTACTATGGAGTATCTTGATGGTAATAATGATGATAATCTACGTTGGGTATCATCTTTGTTTTAGCCATATCTGATTCATAACTTCAGATCCCCAAGTCGCTCACCTCTGTAACCTCTGCTAAGCCAACTACAGATGTATAATTTTTCTTAATGCCTTTTAGTAACCTAGTTTATCCCCAAACAAATAGATTCATGCCACATAAAACTGAGACTTTTGATGTCTTCACATTATCTATTTTTTTCTGTCTTAAACCTCTCACCTTGACCTCCAGGAACTTTCTGGAATTTCTTGGTTTCTGGCTTTGTGACTCATTTTTCTGATCACCATTTGACCTCACTTCTCAGACTCTCAGTGCAACATTTTAGACCTAACCAAAGCTTTCTATCTTCAATCATGATTGCAGTTTATTATTTGGCTTTGCTCCCACTAATGACTGGGTATTAATATAGTTTGGATATGTGTCCCCACCCAAATCCCATGTCAAATTTTAATCCCTAGTGTTGAAGGTCAGACCTGGTGGGAGGTAATTGGATCATGGGGGTGGGTTTCTCATGAACAGTTTAGCACCACCTCCCTGGGTACTGTCCTCATGACAGTGAGTGAGTTCTTGTGAGATCTGGTTGTTTAAAAGTGTGTAGCACCCTCCCCCTCACTCTCTCTCTCTTGTTCCTGCTCCTGCCATGTGAGAAGCCTCACTCATCCTTCGCTTTCCTCCATGATTAGAAGCTTCCTGAGACTTCCTCAAAAGCAGAAGTCGCTATGCTTCCTGTACAGCCTGCAGAACCATAAGCCAATTAAAGCTCTTTTCTTTTAAATTATTAAGTCTCATGTGTGGCCTTATAACAATGTAAGAACAGACTTACTCGGGGTGAACTATAGGCCAATCTAGCTATGTCTAAAATCTCAGGATTTAAGATTCTTAGGGAAACATATATCACAACCCCCTATCTTTCTCAGCATGCTTGTTAGATTGACAGACTTTGTATAAATGTCTGTCAACACAAAGGACTTACTACTGCATGTGTATACTGTGGCGTTGCCATTGGTCTGGAATGAACTTCCTTGGTTCTATACTTTTCCCAAACTCTTCAGATTTCAAGTCTCAGATCCTGAAGCCCTCAAGTAGACTTAGGCATTCCCCCTTCTTGGATCTCTCTACACTTGTAAAAAAAGACCTTCATTAGTGCTCAGATTACATTGTGTTAGATTCTGTGATTTTTTTACAGAAAAAGCCAGGTTATTTCATTTTATTTGTATAAATAACACCTAAAAACAGTGCTGGATGCCTAGTCTATAGATCTCTGTTGAATTACTATGGAATAAATGAATTACTAAATCTAATGCATAAATGAATGAAAGTAAATGTCTGTCTCTGAATGTGGCTGTCTATGAAAATTAGTTTATGCATTTGGAAAATGTGGTATTCTCTCCAGAATAAATTAAGCAGAAAAATTATCCCAATGTACTGTAGAGAGTGTATCCTTTATCCATTAGATCATAATGGATAAGGTGACCTCTAATTTTAAAATGATAGTTTAATAAGTACAAAATGATATACTTAAGGTTTGCAACATAAAAAATGCCACCATAATCACTGTCTGGACTGTGAAACCACTGAACTAGATTAAGTCTGACATTAACAAAAATTCTAGCAAGGCATTACCTAGTGGAATCATGAATAAGACCCAGGAACTTCAACTCCTTAACCACCAACAGGATAACACAGGTACCCATAAGATAAAAGCAAGCCAGAAAAGTATTAATTCTGTTGAGCCAAATTGTTTAAAGAGAAATTTAAAGCATGAAGAGAAGGTGAAAGCAAGAGGGAAGTTTTGATCTTGTGAGAGCTGGTGGGCAATGTGGTCTAGTGCTCTTGTTCTCCGTTCACTGTTGTCTTAGTCTGTGTTGCTATAAAGAAGTACCTGAGGCTGGGTCATTGATAAAGAAAAGAGGTGTATTTGCTTCATGGTTCTGAAGGCTGCACAAGATGCAGTGGCACTGGTATCTGCATCTGGCGAGGGCCTCAGTCCACTCCCATCCAAGGTGAAGGAGGAAAGGAAACCAGCATGTTGGGAGATCATATGGTACAAGAGGAAGCAAGGAGCAGGTGCCAGGCTCATTTCAACAACCAGGTCTCACTCACAGGAACCAACAGAGGGAGAACTTACTCATTACCTTAAGGATGGAACCAAGTCATTCGTGAGGGATCTGCCTCCAGGACCCAAACACTTCCCGTTAGGTCCTGCCTCCCACAATGGGGATTACATTTCAACATAAGGTTTGGAGTGACAAATATCTAAACTACGGCAATTGTAAAGAAAAGTAACCAGCCGGGTGCAGTGGCTCATGCCTGTAATCCCAGCACTTTGAGAAGACAAAGCGGGTGGATCATGAGGTCAAGAGATCGAGCCCATCCTGGCCAACATGGTGAAACCTCGTCTCTACTAAAAATACAAAAATTGGCTGGGCGTGGTGGCATGTGCCTGTAGTCCCAGCTATTCGGAAGGCTGAGGCAGGAGAATCGCTTGGACCCGGGAGGTGGAGGTTGCAGTGACCCGAGATCACGCTGCTGCACTCCAGCCTGGTGACAGAGAGACTCCGTCTCAAAAAAAAAGAAAAAAAGAAAAAAAAGAAAAATAACCTTGTAATAAATGTTGTGGTGTGGTTTTGTTTCTGTTGTTGTTATTATTATTATGTAAACTACAATTTATATGGCATTAACCTAAGGCTAATATTTTGGCACTTGTATAGCATCTAATGGTCATAGTGCACAATATCATCTGTTATGCTCACTGTACAGATAAGGGATAAGAGGTTCAGAAAGGTTACGTTACATGCTTAGGACCTCATAGCTACTAAACGGAATCAGTGCTAACCAGAGAATGTGTTGTTTTTCTGTCACGTTGCCTCCTGGTGTCTGCTTCTGCAGGAAGAATCGTATTGTTTTTCTCTGTGTGAGCCTGGGTAGTACAATTTGGGTTGGATTTTGCTGTGATTATTTGGTTACACTGATGAAAGGGAATCCCAGGATGTGTGTTATGGATTTGGCCATCTCCACCAGTCACATGGGTATGTTCCTTCCGCATTCTCACTTGGGATACTGTAGATGTAGATTCCATGTATATCAATCAAGCAATTCATACGTTTACCACGAATTGTATTAATAAAGTGTTTTAGTTCTAATAAGGCAATAGAATTATCTGATATTTTCTCACATAAAATCTCTGTGAAATAGAGATAATATCTATTTTTAAAAGTCAAGAATATGAGTATATGGGAGTTGAAGTGATTTGTCAGAAATGAATCTACTAACAAACTCCTTCCTTTGTAAATTTACTAAGTTTCTCCTCTGCTCTTTCTTTAAGGGTGTACAAAGCATTAAACACAATGCCAAACATACAAGCATGAAGACAAAATAATTGAGTAGTTTGCTCTCAAGGAGGATCACATTGTCTTCTATCAGCATTTTAACGAAGCATTTAAGTAGGCTTGAATTTTATCAGCCGAACCATGAGGAGTGTTTCAAATAAGAGGCAGCCCTAGGGCCAGCTCTATCACTAGCGGTCTGTGCAGTCACACAGGGTCCTCGGCTCAGAAGAGCCCTTCTCTTGGCTTAATGTTCTACTGTTGCTGTCTCAAAATTTGTAATACTTTTTGAATGAGGGGCCCTGACTTTTCATTTTGCAATGGGCCCTGCAAATTATGTAGCTGGTCTTGGATATCCTTCAATCTGCTCCTTGAATCCATAGGGAGGATGAAAGTCAGACAGGCAAGAAGCCAGCAATGCAGGCTCTATAATACCAGAAAGGATTAGGTGGCTAACTGAGAGCCATTTTTGCTCCCTAGTCCTGAGTAGAGATATCAGTTCTGCATATCCTAAGTTTATTTTGTGTAACTCACATGTTTGACATTTAAGTGCTCCAGGAAAACTTAGCTCGATTAGACAAAATCAATTTTCATGATTCTTGCCAACTATTGCAAAAATTATCAGCAAAAAATTGAAAGAACTACATGTTGGCTATAAATTGAATTACGATTCACATGGAAACACACACACTGTCGCACACATTTTGTTGAACTATTAAAAATAAGTATCAAACATTATGGAACTTTAGCCTGAAATAGTTAACCATACCTCTTCTAAAAGCATTTTTCTAAGTTACCTCATTTTTCTTGTAACCCCTCAGAAACATAATGAAATTCACTGATATTATTTAAAATCTAATTCATATTCAAATATCCCAGTATCTTAAAAATGTCCTTTATTTTTAAATTAGGAATCATATAGTATCCACATACTGCATTTGGTTTAAACATTTTTTTTAATCCATGAAAGGTTGTAATACACAAATTATAAAAATTAATCTGTAATAATATTAGAAAATTATCACAAATTGCAGCTCTTGTAAGTGACAAATATACCCCTTCTCAAACTGAAAAATGTTAATTAAAGGGAAAGAAGGAATACCTACTCTGACTTTTTCAGAAGGAACCGTGGTTCATACCCAGCTGATGAGAGAAGGGTGATTTTTTTTACAGAAGAATGTCAGTCAATAACTATAGAAAGAACGTTAAACTAAAAATAACAATTTTACAATTATTAGTGAAACAATTCAAGTAAAAATCATTAGCTGATGCTTAAAATGATTGCATGTAAGAAAGTTTGGAAAAAAAATATTTACTGTGTGCAAGATTTTCGACTCATCATCACTATTGTTGGGACTACTTAATGCTATGTCCTTCCTAGGGTGTTGCGTCACCTGGAATATTTCTTTCCTTCAAAAAAAGTTCATTCTTAATCTAATGAGACATTAGTCCTGACCTCTAGCTTATGGGAAATGCAGAGGATAGAGGAACAAGTTAAATCACACCATGAGTAAACAATCAGAGGTTAGGAGATTCCATAAATCACTTACCTAGTTACTTAAAAAATACCAGTCATGAAAGAAAAGATAGGCGGTTATGTCATAGCTTAAGCATAAAATACTACATTGTATGGCTTTTTTAATCATTTATCATTAGTAAAATATACATTCATATACATAGTATGTCTGAATGTGTTTGTTAACATGCTTTAATGACTAAATGAGTAAATAATTAAGGTTTAGTTTACAATAGTCTTTATTACTGAAGAAGGATTCATTTGGGAACCAAACTAGGATATTTTCCACTATTAGACACTGTGATAAAAATGTACAATTCTGAATTTGCTTGTTGCTTTTGTATTTGCAGAGTTCCTGTAATAATAACTAACATTACTTTTATTTTATTATGTGGTGCTTTCACCTTTCCCTTTTTTAAGTTGTAGAATATATCAATTTAAATGTTTTTACCTTAATTAAAGCTGGGCTTCTGAAAGAACCCAAATGTTCTTGGTGTCAAAGTGCTGGAAAATGTTCATATTCAATAAAGGGTCCTGTAGGCCACACGATGGAAACACTAAGAAGGAAAAGGAAAAGATTTTTGGTTTCTGAGGCTGAACTGGGGATGAAGGTTGTTTTAGAGAGATTTATTTACTTCAATTTGCTCCTCCTCTTCATCTTTCCATTATTTTCATGTTGTTTAGGGAGTGGGAGTAGAGAAGAAATCGTGCAATGAATTGTGAAATACTATCAAGGGCAAAGTTCTTGTCTTTTGAAGTCTTGGTGAAATCTAAATACTGAAACTAGGCTTAAGATGCCTATTATTTCTTGAAGAAATTGATAAGTCATGGTAGCCACTCACTCCACTGAGATTTTGCAAAGCGGATCAGATAAGGTTTTGCAGCTTTCCTTTAGGAACCGGCAGGCAATAGTAAATAAGTAAAGGTTGCTACTTACCATATTTAACGATCCATTCAATGAAATATCCTCAAACTTTACTAGATCTGATTATCTGAAAATTGTGAGAAATCAATTTTTGTTCTCATTTCTGTTTTTAAAAGACATGGACTCATCCACATTGCCACAGTAAAAGGTGGAAATAGTGAAATGAAATATTAATGCATGAAATTAAACTGTTATTGTTTATCTTTTCGGCCTCCATCCCACCATTCTTAGACAATCACATTAAAAAATAGTAATAAGGCACAAGTTAAACAAGCAGGAATGTTCTGGTCCCCTTTGCATGTATTGATGGTGCTCAGAGATGATTATGATTATTACAAACCATTAGAAGAAGAACTTGTTGAAACTTGCTCACTTTTAATGAGATAGTTCAGGATAATACACACACAAACACACACACACACACACGTATATTCCAAAAGAAATGACAGCAAAATATTTGGAATTATATCACCCAATTGACTGAGGTGGAAAGACCCCCATCTCCTTAGGTTTTGCAGCGGCACTTTCTTCCAGAGGGAGTATGAGTCCTGTGCTATCTCATTGGACTGCCTGTAGAAGAGATCCAACTTTAGTCCAGAGCCAATCATACAGATGAACGAGGGAAGCGATTGAGAAGATATTTCACTCTGGTACAGTTGGATTCTGACTCAAATACAGCACTTAGTTTAATTTTCAGTATCAAAGTCACTATGATTTTGAAAGTCTATGTTTGCTTGTTTTCTTCTTGACAGCTTTATTGAGATATCATTGATATACAAAGAACTGCACATACTTAATGTGATCAATTGAATGACTTTGCACATACCCAAACACTCATGTTACCATCACCACAATCAAGGTAATCGACATACTGAACATCTCCCAAAGTTTCCTCATGTCCTTTTGTTTTTGTTTATTTTTTGTTTTGTCTTGTTTTCTTTTTGTGGTAAGAACACTGAACAGGAGATTTAGCCTCTTGACAAATTTTGAAGTGCACAATACTGTACTGTTAACTGTAGGTACTGTGCTGTACCAAAGATCTCCAGGGCTTATTCATCTAGCATACCTGAAACTTTACACACATTGAGCAGCTACCCATTTTCCCCACCTCCCAGCTCCTGGCAACCAGGAAAATTATTTTAGGTACCTCGTATAAGGGGAATGATGCAGTGTTTGTCTTTGTGCCTGGCTTATTTCGCTTAGCGTAATGCCTTCCAGGTTCATCCATGTTGTTACAAATCGCAACATTTCCTTTTTAAGAAGGCTGAATAGTATTTCATGGTACATATATATGTATATATCCATCAAATGTCCATTGACAGATGAACGGTGATATACCATGAAATACTATTTTTTATCCATTCTTCTGCAGATGGACATTTATGTGGCTTCCATGTCTTTACAATTGTGAATAGTGCTGCAATGATCATGAAAATACAGAAATCTCTTCAAATACTGATTTCAGTCTTTTAGACATATACCTAGCAGTGAGATTTCTGGATCACAGGGTGGTTCTATTTTTATTTTTTATTTTTAGTAATCTCCATATAGTTTTCCATAGCTGTTACACCATTTTGCATTCTTACCAAATGGGTACCGGGGTTCCAATTATTCCATATCCTCATTAACACTTGATATCTTTTTTTGTGTTTTGTTTTGTAACAGCCATTCTAACAGGTGTAAAGTGATATCTCATTGTAGTTTTAATTTGCCTTTTCTTGATAATTAATGATGTTGAGCACCTGTCGTATACCTGTTGGGCTTTTTTTTTTTTTTTTTTTTTTGAGACGGAGTCTCGCTCTGTCGCCCAGGCTGGAGTGCAGTGGCGTGATCTGGGCTCCCTGCAAGCTCCACCTGTCTCAGCCTCCCGAGTAGCTGGGACTACAGGCACCCACCACCACGCCTGGCTAATTTTTTTGTACCTTTTTAGTAGAGATGGGGTTTCACTGTGTTAGCCAGGAAGGTCTCCATCTCCTGACCTCGTGATCCGCCTGCCTCGGCCTCCCAAAGTGCTGGGATTCTAGGCGTGAGCCACCGCGCCTGGACTATTAGTCCTTTTTATGTCTTCTTTGGAGAAACATCAGTTTAAGCCTTATTCCCATTTTTTAGTTAGATTATCTTATTTTTATTTTATTATTTTATTTTTGCTAGTAAGATGTAGGAGTTTCTTACACATTTTGGAAATTTACCAATTATTAAATATATGATTTGCAAATGTTGGTTTCTATTTCCTAGGTTGCCTTTTCATTCTGTTGTTTGCTATGCAGACAGTTTTTAGTTTGATGTATTTCTACTTGTATATATATTTTTTTGGTTGCCTGTTCTTTCTGTATAATTCCAAGAAATCATTGTAAAGACCAATGCCACAAAGCTATTCCTTCTGTTTCTTCTAAGAGTTTTACATTTTCAGGTCTTATGTTTAAGCCTTTTTTTAAATTTTAATACAATTTTAGTTGATTTTTCTGTATGCTTTAAGGTACATGTCCAATTTCTTTCTTTTCTTTCTTTCTTTTTTTTCTTTCTTTCTCTCTCTCTCTTTTTTTTTTTTTTTTTTTTTGCAAGTGAATATCCAGTTTTCCCAGCATCATTTGTGGAAGAAACTATCCTTTGCCCTTTGTGTATTCTTGTCATCCATGTCAAAGATAGGTTGATCTTGTATGTGTGGAGTTGTTTTCTGGCTCTCCACTTTGTTCCATTGGTCTATATGCCTGTCTTTATGCCAGTACCATAATATCTTAATCAATGTAGCTCTTAATGTATTTTGAAGTAAGAAGTGTGATTTTTCCATATTTATTCTTCTTTCTCAAGATTGCTTAGGCTATCTGGGATCTTTTATATTTTCATATAAATTTTAGGATTGTCTTTTCTATTTTCATAAAACAAATGTCATTGGGATTTTGATGGGGATAGTGTTGAATCTGACGATCACTTTGCATAGTATGAACATTTTTACAATATATGAGTCTTCCAATCTATGAACACAAAAGTTATTTCTATTTATTTATGTCTCCTTTAATTTCCTTAATGTTTTGTAGTGTTCAGTGTACAAGTCTTTCATGTCTTATGTTTATTTCTAGATATTATTTTATTGATGATA